>NC_000009.12:38949393-39100909 GCF_000001405.40 Homo sapiens
CTAACACGGTGAAACCCCGTTTCTACTAAAAATACAAAAAATTAGCCGGGCGTGGTGGCGGGCGCCTGTAGTCCCAGCTACTGGGGAGGCTGAGGCAGGAGAATGGCGTGAACCCGGGAGGCGGAGCTTGCAGTGAGCCGAGATCGCGCCACTGCACTCCAGCCTGGGCGACAGAGCGAGACTCCGTCTCAAAAAAAAAAAAAAAAAAAAAGACAGACCAAGCATGGAGACTCCGCTGCAAAGTCCCAGTGATGACCTCAAGGTGGCTGTCAACAACTCGTCAATTGTTGAGATGACAGCAACCTGCCCTTCAAGTGGACCACAGCTTGAAATAGGCACCAGAACAAGACAGCAGACCTTGTGCAATGCACTCTCCCACGGGCCTCCCATTCCAATTTCCCCTTTTTAAGCCTTTCTCCCCAGCCTAAAGTTTTAAGAGGTTTCTGGAGGCGTAAGGTAAGCAGCCTGCTTCCCTGCTGCTAGCTTTGGAAACAAAGTAACTTTCCTTTCACTACAGACTTCCTCCTTGTTACTGACTTTGCAAGCGGTGGGCAGCTGAGTCTGCACTGGGTTACATCGGGGCGGGGGGGGGTGGGGGGGTGGTGTGTGTGTGTGTGTGTCTCGTGTGTGTGTGTGTGTGTGTGTGTGTCTGAAACCAGTGTTTCTCAGCTTGATCATCAGGGTTGCTAAAAAATATTTGGTAGGAATGAAGTAGACTTTTAAAAGATGAAAGCATATATTAACTTAGATGCATCTTGTTTACCTCGATATCTTAACACCTCTCATGGTGCCCAGCATACAATAGGTTCTCAGCAAATGTATACAGAGAGTACATGGATGGATGGATGGGTGGATGGATGAATACAGAATTGAATAACTTAATATTCTTTTCACTAGATACATTTTTTAACAAAATACTTTCTCCTTTTACATAGGATTCTATTTATGTTTAATGAACAAAAAAATTAGTTTCAATGAAAACTTTATTTGAAATGATGAATTCAAGCTGTTACCAGCCTCCCAAGTAAGATGCCAGAGACTTCAAACACTGCTGTTGTTTCTCAAGGAAAAGATCCAGTTAACAAGGAATCATTCTCTCTTCTTCAATAGCTGCTTACGGTAAATAAAATCTCTTCCTCCTTTTAATATTTTACATAAGAGAACATTTTAAAATTGTATTAAAAAAAAAAAACATGAGAAAGAATGATAGCCTTAAGTGAGTTAAGTGAGTTTTCTCACTGCGCTTATAGCCCTTCCCAATTTTGTGTTCTGTATATTTAGGATGGCTGGTGGGTGGGAAGGCCAGGAGCCAGAGGTGTACCACAGCTGCTGTGCCTGCCAAAGAACAAGCAGGTGTTCTGGTTTTTTGTTCGTATTCTTTAAGGTCAGTGAACTGGCTGGTTTCCATTTCTCATCTTAGCCTACGTCGTTCTTAAAGGTTCTGTCTCACAAGGAAATTGTTCAAGAGCTTAACCAAGCAAGTGTGGCTATCCCAAGTGAAATGGAGAAATAGACCAGCATCCCTCATGAGCCAGGCTCAGTCCTCACTTTTACCATCAAATATTGACATTATGAATGTTATTGTTTCTCTATAAAGCATCTGCACAAATTCCATGTTTTAATATATTAGTTCGGTGTTTCTCATTATTTGGAAATCAGGCCTTTTTTGATAAGCATGTCAGAAAATAGCAGAATCAGAAACAATATCAGATATATCAAGAGCAGGAGAGTGACAATGGGCAGAGCTTCTTTCCAGGCTTTGGGAGTAGTTGACAATAGGCTAGCTGAAAGATTAAAAAAGAAAGTTAATGATGGGTCACCTTAAGGGAGCTGGTAAACTAGTTGTGAGGTAAAATAAAGAGGTCTGGGACCAGAGAAATAGCAGAAAGAATGGGACTGATCTAGGATAGAAGTAAAATCTAAATTAAAAGAAAAAAACAAATTACGGCTCTGATTCCTTCTCTGGGGAGACTTCAATGTGTGCTTGTCAAAGTGAGGTTTTTTTTTTTTTTCTGTTATAGATAGTTAAAAGTGCAGGGGAAAAGAGGTATCTTTTCCTCAGCCATTGCTAGGTTCATGGCTGAGGCCCCTATAACAAAAGACAAATTGACAAGAGAAAAGCATAAAACCTACTAATAAGTTTTACATGACATGACTTCATGAAAAATAAAGAACTAAAGAAGTAGAAAACCTGTGTATTGACCTGGCGCGGTGGCTCATGCTTGTAATCCCAGCACTTTGGGAGGCCGAGGTGGGCAGATCACAAGGTCAGGAGATCCAGACCATCCTGGCTAACACGGTGAAACCCTGTCTCTACTAAAAATACAAAAAATTAGCCGGGCGTGGTGGCGGGCGCCTGTAGTCCCAGCTACTCGGGAGGCTGAGGCAGGAGAATGGCATGAACCCGGGAGGCGGAGCTTGCAGTGAGCCGAGATCGCGCCACTGCTCTCCAGCCTGGGTGACTGAGCAAGACTCCATCCCAAAAACAAACAAACAAACAAACAAAAAAAAACGTGTATTTCTTATGCTACATTTGATGTACAGTCATGAAGAAATATAACTGGACAAGGTGGGTAGACCTCATGGTAACACACTGAAGGAAACTTAGCAAGGCTTTTGTGCAGGTTCTTCTCTGTGTCCCTGTGTCTTCGGAGATAAGGATGCTCCTTTCCTCTGGGTATAGGGAGAACCTCTCAAATAAGAGTCCTATGACCTGCTTCAGGAGAAGGTCAGAAAATCCATCCTAGGTTTTAGGACATGCTTTTAGGAAGGAGGATCAGGGACAGTCATAGAGTGATATTTCTTCTTCAGTTTCCTCAAATGTCAAGGTACCATATTTTATGGTAACATAACTGAACCCAATTAAAAGAAATTAGCATGTTACTTTTTGAGGGGGAAGGCTCTGACTGAGCTAACATGTTATGGGTTTTGTAGGGGTGAAAAAGCAATACCTTTTCCTCACCCATCACAAGGGTCATGGCTGACACCTTGATAACAAAAGACAGATTAACAAGAGAAAAGCATAAAAATTTATTTAACTGAAGTTTTGCATGGCACAGGAGGTTTCAGAAATGAAGATCTAGAGAAAAGCGTGTACTTGTATGCTTAGGTTTGATATAGAATAAACAGTCATGTAGAACTATGATTGGATGAAAGGGTGTGACATAATGGTAATAAACTGGGGGGAACTTAGAAAGGTCTCTTGTTCAGATTCTCCTTGGCCTTTCTGAGTAGCATTCCTTCCCCCTGGGAATGGGGCAGGGCTCCTATGGAGTGAGGGTCTTACAACTTAATTTCAGGTGAGGAAGGTCAGAGAAATCGTTTATAACTATGTTTTACACAGAAAGGTGGGAGGAGGTCAGAGTGACTTTCTTGTTCTGCAGTTTCCTCGAATGCCAAGGCACCATATTTGGAGGTATCGTGTTCTGGTCCCCAGCAAGTTATATGGGGTACTGTGCATTTGTTGCCCCTACATAGTTTTCAATATATGCTAATTCATGGGTGCGGCAGAGCATAGACCGTACATGCTCTGTTTCTGGGAACCTGTTGCTCAATCTCTAAAGTTGGCTCATTCATCTTGCATGTAAAATGAGAATATAAATCTCATTTAAAAAAAAAGTCTCGAGCTAAGAGATGATTCACGCATAAGATTCAGCACACTGTCTGGTACAGAGTAAGTGCTTTCCAAAATGAACATTATGTTAGATATAATTTCCAAAACACACACTCTTGTGTATTAAGTCATTGGCAAACATACCCAAGCTTCTTGGCTCACTGATATGATGGACTCTGCGATTCACATCCTGAGAAGGGTGTGGGCATCACATGCACAATGCGGCTCATCACAGAGGATTTTTCCAGAACATAAATGCTACACATCCCTCCCTATGAGAAGATTCACATTTCTTTCTTTTGAATGAGAGGAGAAATTCTACACAATAGAAATAGTAATTTGAATGAGAGAATATACCTTTGAATTCACAATTCAGGCAGACTGTATTCTTTGTCTTCTTGAAGACAAGAATAGTTCTTAATTTTTTTTTCTCAATTTTGAAGAGCATGAAGTTTAGGAAAAAAATATGTGTAAGTGGTTGTTGACAAGTGTTCTAACCCTCTTAAGATATTATTCATTGCCAAAATGGAAAGCGTTTAAGTGAATATCCTTCCCAAGGATTCTGAAATGCCCCCTGAGAAGAGGGCAACAATTGTTTTGGGGCTCTTTCTGTAAAGGGGAGTATGTGACAACAAGGAGGCTGGTCCTGTGTGCTTCCTATGGTGGCATGAGCATATGCATTCTCTAAAATATAATCATAGGTGTATATACACGTATATATGCATGTGTGTATTGTGTGTGTGTATTTCTCTACATATTCTTTTAAATATTGTTCTCAACTATATATAATATTCTATAATCCATTGTGGACCTCTACAAATAATCAGTTAAAGTGTTGCTTAATAGCTACATGATCACAAAGGTCAGAAACCCAGTCAGGACCAAATCATGTAGAGTCTTAGAGGCCACCACTAGGAATTTGTATGTCATTCAAAGTGGCCGGGGAGCATTTCAAGAGCTTTGAAGCATGGGAGTGATATGATCTGATTTACATTTTCAAAAGATCACTCTCGATGTTTGTAGGCGGAGTTGGGGGATATAAACTCCTCAGGGGGCCACTACATCCCACTACAGACGATGCTGGCTCAGAGCCCAGAGTCTGGTTTAGAGCTGGTGAGACATGGATTGTATTCAGAAGGTAGAACAGCTGTGAGGACCAGGAGAGAGGAAAGAGAAACAATGATAAGTTTCTGGCTTGAGGATTTGAGTAGATGGCCATTTCATTAACTGAGATAGAAAAGACAGGAGGATGAGCAGTCGGGGTTGGATCTGACTGGCTTTGCATTTCTGTGGGGCTGTTGGGGAGGGAACAACAGTGTCACCAGTGCTCTCTACCCACCTGTCACTCAAGGTGGGTGAGACGTCTTCTTGAACTTAATTTAGGCTCCTGCCTTTGTGCTTCTTGGGGTTAAATGTGTAGAAGCCCTTCGAACGTATTAAAAGGACGGTGCAAAGATTAGACAGGGCCTCTTTGGAGGCCCTGCCTGACTTGCATTAGCTTTGATTAGGCTGTGTTCATTGCCAAAGCTTGTGGCCACATGCTTATTATTCTGCATTTACTGAGGAAATAAGAACATGACAAGACGTTCTGAAGTCTCCGATGACTCCAGTTAAGGTTCTTTGAAATGCACGTGCTCTACTTTCTCTCCCGCTACCTGATGACTTTTTTCACAGTAGGCTGGAGAATAAGTTGGAAGAAGGCTTGGTCCCCTTGGCTTGGTGAGATCATGGTAAGCAGCAACTCTGACTGTTTGATGCTACACTGTGAAGAGCAGAACCTGAATTTTCAAAATGGAAAAGTTGCAGCAATTAAAAATTGTGCTGACAAGTTTTGTTTTTACAACAGTTGTCAGGGCTAGTGTTGATAAGGAAAACAATGACAGGATGAGTTGTGAATCTGCGCAGTGCTTTACTAGTGTTCAGGTGAGAGAGCTCCGTGGTCAAGGGAACTTTTAAGTTACAATATTTTCTTTATGGTTTCTAGCTTTCAGTATTATATCTACAAAGTCCACATGTAAGCCACAAGGATTTTTTTTTTTACTTTTACCTAGCTCTTTTATGTTTTAATTTTCACATTAATTCTTATGTGCTTCCAGGATTGGTTTTGAGGTGAGTTGTGACACAGGAGTCCAAACATAATGTTTTTTCTAAGTGGCCAGCAAATTATTTCAACACACAGTGTCTCCCTACGTTGTAAGTAGGTCCTGTGGGGCAGGAGCAATCTGTCATTTTCTTAGGGCCTAGCACAGCATGAAGTCTCAGATATTTGTTCGGTGAATGCCTGAATGAATCCGTGGAAGAGCTTCTTCCTCCTAGCACCTCATGGCTGCGTATGAACACTTATGACTTATAAATGCAAAGGTATACAGTAGCCTGGCAATTGACTCCCAGTTTAAAAAATAAGGCCAGAGGCAGTGGCTCATGCCTGTAATCCCAGCACTTTGGGAGGCTGAGGCAGGTAGATTGCCTGAGCTCAGGAGTTCGAGACCAGCCTAGGCAACATGGTGAAACCCTGTCTGTACTAAAAATACTAAATAAAAAAAATTAGCTGGGCATAGTGGCGGGTACTTGTAATCCCAGCTATCGGTTTCACTCGTGTCCACGTGAGGAGACCACCAAACAAGCTTTGTGTGAGCAACAAGGCTGTTTATTTCACCTGGGTGCAGGCGGGCTGAGTCCAAAAAGAGAGTCAGCGAAGGGAGATAGGAGTGGGGCCATTTTATAGGATTTAGGTAGGTAAAGGAAAATTACAGTCAAGAGGGGGTTGCTCTCTGGCGGGCAGAGGCAGGGGTCACAAGGTGCTCAGTGCGGGAGCTTTTGAGCCAGGATGAGCCAGGAGAAGGAATTTCACAAGGTAATGTCATCAGTTAAGGCAGGAACAGGCCATTTTCACTTCTTTTGTGATTCTTCAGTTACTTCAGGCCATCTGGATGTATATGTGCAGGTCACAGGGGATATGATGGCTTAGCTTGCGCTCAGAGGCCTGACACTCAGGAGGTTGAGACAGGAGAATCACTTGAACCCAGGAAGCAGAGGTTGCAGAGTGTCGAGATCGTGCCCTTGCACTCCAGCCTGGGCGACAGAGCAAGACTCCATCTCAAAAAAGAACAATATAATAAAAAATAAATCCCAGAATTATGTAAAGTGCTGATTTAAAAGGGTATTGTTTTACCATAGTCTCTAGGGCTCCTAGGATTTTTAAAGTGAAAATATAATCTAGAGTGACACAAAATTATTCTAAACTAAATGAGAGACAGCATGGTGTTGTGAAAATATTTAAAATCATCAAACTGCATGTCTGTCATTTACTTGCTATGTGATCTTGATTTATTCATTATAATCAGTTTTCTTGTCTCTGCAGTGAGAGTAACAGCACCCACTTTTCAGAGTAGCTCTGAGTTTCAGTGAGTTAACATCTGTAATTTACCTGAACGGTGCCTAGCAGGGAACAGACACTAAATTAATGTTTTTTCTTCTTCAACTCCTCCCTAAAGCCACATTCTAAAAATATATCCTTTCTTTCACGACTTGACAGCTTGAAACTCAAAAAAAAAAAAAAAAAAAAAAAGATTGTATATCTTGTGTGAGTACTGATATGTGGGCAATTTTCCATCATCAGAGTGTGGAGTACTTTTTAAGACTGTCTTTTAATGAATCAGATACACTGATTACAAAAGGACTGGTTGATTGCAATCCAGTTATTTTCCATGAGTAACTTCAATAATACAACAAACACGTACACTTTTTTTTATTTTTTTGAGACAGAGTCTTGCTCTGTCACCCAGGCTGGAGTGCAGTGGCGTGATCTTGGCTCACTGTAAGCTAAGCTCCAATTCCCAAGTTCATGCCATTCTCCTGCCTCAGCCTCCCAAGCAGCTGGGAATACAGGCGGCCACCACCACGCCCGGCTAATTTTTTGTATTTTTAGTACAGATGGGGTTTCACCATGTTAGCCAGGATGGTCTCAATCTCCTAACCTCATGATCCGCCCGCCTTGGCCTCCCAGAGTGCTGGGATTACAGGCGTGAGCCACCGCACCCAACCACAAGTACACTATTAACGAGCTAATGATGAGCTCTGCGTCAGGGCCAGGACTGAGGTGAGCAACTGCCTCATTTGCCTCGTGTGCAAAACTGAGAAGTCACCAAAAAATTCAGTCATTAAGATAAATAGTTAACATAATATTAAAATATCAAAATGAATGCAAAAAATTCATTATGAGCAAAATACCAACATTTCAAATGAAGACAAGCTCTGACAAGGCCAGGCTAGTGAGGAACTGATGCTCTCAGGTACCATGCTAAGCACTGCAGTGTATGCTAGATTAAAGCAGATGACATTGCTTTTTTTATTTAAATATTTTTATTTAAAAATGGTCACATATCTGCAATTTTATATTTTTCAACCTAAATATTTCCTTATTTAAACATATTTAATCTCTGCAGAAACCCTTCGTCTCAGGGATCATTTCATCATAAGACAGTAACTCCTTTAAACTAACTTCTAGTAAAAAATGAAGTAAACTTATAAAAATATAGGAGACAGCTGACTATCAGCCTCTTAAGTGTTTGGAACAGAGGACTGAGGCCCAGGAGCTGAGGTTTCTCATCTCAGCATCTCTCCAAGTGGCCACCCCTTTTTCTTAGTGTCTCTGCAAAGAGGCTTTTCTGATTACTCCTTTGTATGAGTCTCCATCATGATGGCTCCTAAAGGGCAGCCTTGGTTCCAGGAGTCTTTTTCCAGGGCCTACTTCAGCATCTCCCATTGAATAACCCATTTGTGGTGTCTCAGGTCAATTCCTGGAAAGGCAATGTGAGAGGCCAAGGCTACAAGGTGCCTCAATTCCTCCTGGTCAGGGTCCACTTTGGTTCTTCGGTACAGGAATGGGGGCTTCATGTTTAAAAAAAGAAAACCAGGACACAGGCCTGAATTGTCTAACGTCAATCAATAGGAAATCGGGAAGAAATGAGCTTGGTCAGACAGCCGGGTAGGTAGGGACTGGAACTCATTCTCATCTTATATTTAAGGAAAGAGAAAAGCAGAGTTCAGTAGCTTGCTGAAGTCACGGAGAAAAAATGGATTTGGGATGTGATGGGAGTCTAGTTTCTGTGTGACCTTCAGTGAGTTAATTAATAGTCTGACATCTTTGTAAACCAAAAATAAAATTCTTAGCCTCCAACCGACTAAAATGGACCCCTCTGTTAGCCAAGGGGGCCCAAAGAAACCTAAAAAGCTAGGTCAGGCCAGGACAGGAGGAGTTCAGGCACAAGCCACCAACATTAACACTGAAACAGAGATCATAACACTGACAAAACACAACCTTTGTAACAAGATACCACATTTCAACCCAACTCTAGTATAATATTACATGACAGATAAAGAAGGAAATCAAAATATTTTATCCCAAAATATGTCTCTTTGCCATATTTTGAAATGGCCCTGCAGAGCCATCTTTTGTGGGGCAAGATTTGCATCTATAAAGAATCTCCAGCTGGGCACAGTGGCTCAGGCCTGTAATCCCAACACTGTGGGAGGCTGAGGTGGGTGGATCACTTGAGGCTGGGAGTTTGAGGCCAGCCTGGCCAACATGGTGAAACCCTGTCTCTACTAAAAATACAGAAATTAGCCTGGCATGGTGGTGCCCCAGCTACTTGGGAGGTTGATGTGGGAGAATTGCTTGAACCCAGGAGGCAGAGGTTGCAGTGAGTCGAGATCACGCCACCGCACTCCACCCTGGACAACAGAGTGAGACCCCGTCTCGGAAAAAAAAAAAAGAACATCTATTAACATAGCTAGATCTTTCCCCTCCCAGGCCTTCCCAATCCTGAAGAGATTAACTGAGGGTCTAGCACCTTTTAAAGATCTGAATAGGAAATATTTACCATCTATTTTTCTCTAAGGGTGGCCACCTATTAGACCTCATCTACATAAGAAGAACCTTAGTCTCCACAACCTCTTATCTTAATCCAGACACTCCTTTCTATTGATTCTAAACCTTTGGATGGTAACTTAACCCTTTCAACCAATTGCCAATCAGAAAAACCTTTGAATCCACCTATGACCTGTAAGCCCCAACCACCTCCCACCCCCACCGCCACTTTGAGTTGTCCCGCCTTTCTGGACCGAACCAATGTATAACTTACATGTATTGATTGATGTCTTATGTCTTCCTAAATAATAAAACCAAGCTGTAGCCCGACTCCCTTGGGCACATGTTCTCAGGAGCTCTTGAGACTGTGCCTTGAGCCATGGTCACTCATATTTGGCCCAGAATTGCTGAGACCGGCTCGGTCAGGGAGACCCTAACCCAGCTGAGCTAGAGGAATTAAAGACACACACACAGAAATATAGAGGTGGGAAATCAGGGGTCTCACAGCCTTCAGAGCTGAGAGCCCCGAACAGAGATTTACCCACGTATTTATTAACAGCAAGCCAGTCATTAGCATTGTTTCTACAGATATTAAATTAACTAAAAGAATCCCTTATGGGAAAGGAAGGGATGGGCCGAATTAAAGGAAGAGGTTGGGCTAGTTAACTGCAGCAGGAGCATGTCCTTAAGGCACAGATCGCTCATGCTATTGTTTGTGGCTTAAGAATGCCTTTAAGTGGTTTTCTGCCCTGGGCGGGGCAAGTGTTCCTTGCCCTCATTCCCATAAACCCACAACCTTCCAGCATGGGCATTATGGCCATCATGAACATGTCATGGTGCTGCAGAGATCCTGTTTATGGCCAGTTTTGGGGCCAGTTTATGACCAGATTTTGGGGGGCTTGTTCCCAACACAAAATAAACTTCTTTAAATATTCTACAGAGTTTGGCTTTTTTCACCAACACCTCCATTTTCCTATAAAATGTGATAAAAATACTTCTTGAACCCCATGTATATGGAGAATAGATTTTTCAACAAAAGCACCAAAGCAGTCCAGTGGAGAAAGGAGAGCCGTGTGACAAATGGTACTGGGACTTTTAGATATACAAAAAAAAATGAACTTTGGTCCTTACCTTGCATTATATGTAAACATGAACTCAGAATGGTTCATAGACCTAAATGTAAAAGTTAAAACTATAAAACTTCTAGAATGAAACAGAAGCAAGTCTCTGTGACCTCGGGTTAGTCAAATATTTCTTGGCTAAGGCAACGAAAGCACAATCTGTAAAATAACAAATTAATAAATTGGATTTCAAAAGACACCGAAACAAAAATGAAAAGCCTTGCTACTGACTTGGAGAAAACATTTGCAAATCCCATACCCAGATGTATTTTCTGTGCCCAGTTAGTGATTTTATAAAGGGATACCAAGGCAGCATGGCCCAGTGGCTGAGACAATTCTGAAGCCAGACACCTGGGATTTGATCCCTGCCCTGCCACTTACCACTTATTAAGCACGTGACTTGAAGAAAGTCTCCTAATCTCTATGGCTTTCCTTTTCCCATTTAAAAATGGATAAAATAGTAATATCTAAACCTCTTCATTGGTTTCTATAAAGGTGAATTAATATTCTAAAGTGCATAGATCAATGTCTAGCACATAGTAGCCAAGACAGGTTTGTTAAATACATAAAACCAAGCAGGAGGAAGCCTGTCCCTACCATCCTCCTAGTGCTGGTACATTTTTCTCACCTTTCTTAATCTTGGGGGAGAATTGATTTTCTCATTCTGTCTTATTTAACATTTGAGCTCAATGTCTAACCTATAACTTTATATATGATTTATTTCCGTATACTTCTCATTTTATTTTTAAAAAACCCTATGATTTGATTTCAAAAGAAGTAAAAACAAATTAAATCTTGTTAACCTAAAACTTGCTTCTGCAACATCCCCACTGGGAATGATAATATAAATGCTTGTGCCTTGAGATGAGAATGTCATTGTTTGTTCCTTACTGTTGTATAGCCTGAAGATTAAATAAGTAAAATAAAAGTGGAATTAAGAAATATATCTTGTCTACTAGTCAAAGCAGTTCAGAAACTGTATTTCACTGTTACATCTAGATAGTTGAATTGTGTGCCTTTAAGCTATGAAATTTGGTTAAATTAACTTTAATGAAAAAAATCGGAATGCAATTCCATTTTTATGTTCTTCTTTAAATATGGTAAAACGTATTAATACAGCATTGAGATAACTTTGACCTATTAGAATGCAAATGACTCTAGATTGATCTAATGCCTCACATTTAGGGCTGGTTTTAAAGGTCTCTATGATTCCCATTTACAAATGAAACTTATTAATATGAGTTATAGATTCTTTTCCATTGTGTGCCAAGCAAGGAGAGAATCAAGCTTATTTGAATCATGCAGGCACATAGACTTTGGAATGATTAGGAGACCATGGCAAAAATTGTGAGTAATACATGTAGAGAAGTTTAAACTTTTCCTCTGGAGGTGTGATAACTGAGTTATCCTGCCAAAATACATTGACAATAGATAGATTAACAGGAGAAAAACACACACAGATTTGCTAATATGTACATGAAAATGCGAGCCCTATAAATATGAGACTCAAAGAAGGGCCATACAGCTGAGGCTTAAATAGCATTCTTTTTGTAGGGAAGAGGGGAGATTAGTGTGCAGGTAATTTTGAGGAATAGTAAAATGCTTTTCAGGAGAACTGAATGGGCCTGGGAGACAGAAATTAGTTTATAAATTATTCTCTTTGGAATTTGAACAGGACAAGTTATGGGAAGGTGAGGGGTGGAATTGCACTGAACAAAGGCTGTCACTATGCAGATAAAGTCTCTTAGGCAACCTCTTGCAGCTGCCCTCAGAAGAACAGATGAAAAACCTGACTGGGCATGGTGATGATTTTAGTCTTCTCTAGAAGGTATCAAAATCTTCTTATTTTGCCCCTTGCCAAGTACTTGTGAAGGGGTAGGCACTGGTTATGGCATGTGGAGTGTTATGGTATGGTGAGGAGCTGGATAGCAAGGGGGCTGAACATGTACTGATTTGATTAGCTTCATCTCTAAAGAGTCGTGTCTCAGATGGAGCAGCTTGCACTCAAGGTACTATGAAAATGAAGAGGTTATAAAAGTATTCTAAGGGTCTCTAAGCCTTGTCAGTCTCTGTTTTCTTTATGACAACCTATGGGTTGTTAAGTAGTTGGGATGGGGTCAGTATATGGGCAGAGGGAGGTGCCCTGGTGGAAGTACTAGATAGAGGATTTGGTATTGCATCTAGGATGCTAGAGTTCTTAGAGGTTAAAGGATTTTAATTTACCTAATAAAAGCTCAAAGTTTAATTTACTCAACATTTAACCAACAGATGTCTTCTATGCTGAACTAAGAAGCCTAAACTTTTCTCTGAAAGCAGTAAGAAGCCTTGTAGGGATTTTAAAGTAAAGGTGACAGGGTTAGATTTAAATTTTAAAAGATTGCTATGAAGGAAATGTGAGAGGGAATCAAAAAAATAGAAGCAGGGAGATCATTAAATTTTGTTACAATAGCGAAGGTGAGAAGTCATGATGATATGAATTCAAGAATTAAAGAGTTTTTAAGAAAATGGGTTCACAGAACTTAATTGTGGCAGGAGGGCATAGGTGGGGGGGTGGTAAGAAGGAAGTGTCAGGAGGGAATGATGCTGCTAGGCATTGGGAGGGGGAGCTCAGGGGCAGGAAGAGGATTTGGAAGAATGATGGATAGAATTGACAGGCTGAATCTTAGGTGTCTGAGAAAAATCCAAGTGGAAACAATTCAGAAGATGCATGAATATTCAAGTATGGGCGTGGAAGAAAAGTCTGGACTAGAAATATATATTTAAAAGTAAATAGGGCGGCCAGTTGCGGTGGCTCATTCCTTTATTTCCAGCACTTTGGGAGGCTGAGGCGGGCGGATCACGAGGTCAGGAGATCGAGACCATCCTGGCCAGTACGCTGAAACCCTGTCTCTATTAAAAATACAAAAATTAGCTGGGCATGGTGGCATGCACCTGTAATCCCAGCTACTTGCGAGGCTGAGGCAGGAGAATCGCTGGAATCTGGGAGTTGGAGGTTGCAGTGAGTCAAGATCGCCACTGCACTCCAGCCTGGCAACAAAGCAAGACTCCGTCTCAAAAAAAAAAAAAAAAGTACAGGGTATGAGTGATAATTAAAGTCACGCCTGTGAATTGGTGGAAAGATGTGAAACAGCCAACTCAGGGTCCGAAACGAAATAAGACAGACTCATGTTTCCTGACTTTACCATAACATTGCCTATTGCATCTTCAAGCACGAAGGGGAAAATATATATTTTTTATGGAGATACTTTGATCTTTCAAATTCTGGACCTGGGATGTGAAATGGCCATGGCCTTAGTTATTTTAACTGGCTAACTCATAGAATCCCTTTTCTGTGTTCCACAAATGTGCCACATTTTGTGCTATTCATATTCCTGTATCTAGTATATCCTCTTTCATTAATCTATTTTAGTGCAGTAATAGTTATATTTTCAGATCTAAGAACTAATTGCTTGACTTTGTTAATGGATAAAACAAACTGTAATATATTTTAAAGAGGTTTATTCTGAACCAATATGAGTGACTGAGGCCTGGAGAAAACACGCAACCAAGAAGGCTTGAGTAAGTGGTTCCGAGGTGGCCGGGTTGGTTTGGTTTTATACATTTCAGGGAGGCAGGAGTTACGGGCAAAGACATCAACACATGGAAGGTATACACTGGTTCGGTTCAGAAAGGGGGATTATCTTCAGGAGAGGTCTTATAGGTTGTAGGTGGACTTGGGGATTCTCTGGTTTGTGATTGGTTAAAGGAGTAAGGCCCTGTCTACAGCTTAGAGTTGACAGAAAGGAAGGTAAGAATGCTCTGTCAGAGTCAGCCACAATAAAATGCCCTGGTTAGCAAGCCTGATGGCCTGCAGGCCTGACTTACACCTGCCTTGCATGGCCTTAGGGCTTGTTCATAATTTGTTATCTTATGGCCACACGGGGTCTGTTCTGTCAGTCTTAGGATCTCTATTTTAACACCGCTGCTGGTTACTTGTTGAGTCCAAACTCCAAAACAGAGGAGGTATGATGAGGTGTGTCTGACCTCCCTTTCTTTCAGGGCCAGAAACAGCTTTTCAGTTTTCTCTGGGGTCCTCTTGGCCAAGAAGTTTCTGTTCAGTTGGTTGGGGGGCTTAGAATTTTATACGTAGTTTACAACCTAGCGTTGGTCTATATTATATGCTCAGGAAAGTTTCTGAAATAGCCCTGGACTGGTTGGGTGATCTGGGATATGGAAAATGGGCCTGTGTCCTGAATGATGCACTTGAAAATGGAATATAAGACTCTGTAAAACTCAAAGCATCTGTGAACACAAAATTCAATTGAGTTGATTTGCCGCAGGCTTTCTCCACTGCTAACAGTTACAATTCAATCTCAGTTATACATGGTGTCCAAAAGAAGCACATTGTGGTGACCAGCAGAAACCAAGTTTTGCTTGAAGAATAAAGGTTGCAATTTTGCAAAGGTCATGTGTTATATAAATTTTCAGTAAGATGAGATAGTTTTAAATATTTATGGCATGGACCTAAAATACACTTGCACTCTTTAGGATGAAGGAATCTATTAATTTGTTGGTAAGTGAGGAATTTAAATGGCCACTAATTTCTTGCACGAACAGCTCTGCACGTTTTTCTCCACGTGTTTGTAGCGTGTACCCTTATCGGTCAAGCAACACTGAGGGGTATTCTGTGAGCACATCTTTAGAATGATACATTAAAATTCTAGTAAATCTTAAGGCCTAGATGATATAAACTCTGAAGTCATCTTGCTCAACAGAAATTATCAATAAACCTTTTTATAGTTCACTAAAAATAAAGAACAGAGTTAATAATCTTGACATTTTTATTCCTGCAAGTTGAAAAAGTTCGTGTGTTTTTTCTCAATCTACTAAAGATCTAAATTATTTTGATATAGTTTCAGACTTACTTTGTAACTGAAAGTGATTTTTCTCATTTTTGTTGATAGAAATAAAAACATCAGTAGGAGGGGAAGGAGGAAGGAAGGAGAAGAAAGAGGAAGAATAGGAGGAGAAGAGGAAGAGAGGAAGAAGTCGTGAACAGCCCTCCTGCATTTTGCATCAGGTAGAAAAGTCAGTTGAATGTTGGGAAGAACACAAATAGTAAGTACATAGATTTTCATGTAATAAAAATACCCATTGTTATCAATGCAGGAATGTGCATTTTTTGAGTCACCATAAGATGACAGAGAGCCCCTGGGGCCACCCTTTGGTGTCTCCCAGCTTCCGATGGCAGTCAAGCTTGTAGCAGAGGGACCTGCGTCCCATGTGCCCCTCTTCTCCACACTGCCCTAGGCTTGGCTAAGGGAACGGTTGTTCTTCATGTTCCCAAGGGCAACTGTGCAAATGTTCCACGTGCCCTTCAGCATGGGGTGATTCTCCTACGCACAGAAGCAAACACAATGGTTTAAAACAGGGATAACTCAGTAGATTACCCCTGATCCGTCCAACTGTGCTTTATCGTTATCTTGTTACAGTTTCTGGGTGGAGCCTATTTTTCCAGCTTTTGGCTGCTCTGAGCCGAAGGATGGTAGTAGGGCAGGAGAAGGGGAATTGAATTAATATTTATCGAGGGCCTGACACGAGCCCAGCACTGTGAAGACACCCTCTACACCTGTTATCTTACTAAATCCTCAGTTCAATCCTTTGGGACAAGTGTCACGCTGTTTGCAAATGAGGAAACTAAAACTCATTAAAAATAAGCGACATGCGCAGATCGTGTAGATAATATAGAGTAAGGGTTTAAACTCTGGACTCTTTGGGACCAGTACCCATCCTCTTAACTGTTCCACACTTTCTTCCATGTAATGTAGAAATATTTGATTTATTAATAATGTATTCCTTTACAACTTCTGAATGGGATCTGAGATAAATATATTCATATGCCCTATATATGATAGTTAAGTATAAGGTGAAAATAGGGAACCATTTAGACAAAAGAGAAGATGATTACGTATGAGGCTAACATAGTAAGATCATGAAAATTAAGTTAGTTTCTCATCTCCAGTTAGACAAGAGGAAGGGAGGTGTGGCAGGTCCCTGGCTTTCCCCATTTCTCAGGGCAGACCTTGGGTTGTGATCTGATCTCACGTGGTTCTCCAAGACCTTCAGGGAAGACTTTGTTCTGTTTTGTTAAGTTTGAGGTTATTTCTTAATTTGTTTGTCATTTTGCTGATTAAGAAGCATAACAGAAATTTATTCTACAGAAAAGGAAACTGATTAAGAAAATGCAGTGCTTTTATCAGGGGCTTTCCAGGATAGATGAATAGATACTGTATATTTATTATTTCAACTCGTGAAAAAAATTCAGGGACATGTTATTAAATTGTAGTTTCTTGAAAATCTTTTAACAGTAAATAAATCTAATGCAGACCAAGTACTTTGCCATTCAGTGGTCTAACAATAAAAAGAGACAACCTAAAGAATATCTGGCTTGTGTGTTCCTTAGGTCAACATGTGTAAATAACTAGCAGGTTGGAGGCATTATGTTTCACTTCCACGCAACCTGTTGCATTTTGCAGGGGTCAATGATTTAGGCACCAATGCCCCTGTGTTTTTTAAAGGGACAAAATACAACCACAATTTCCCTGAACTATGGATTTTAGACTCTAGTTACATATGGGCTAATTTAAATATTCCAAGTAAAGCATATAAGAAAATATAGTCAAAATAGCATGATAATAATTTGACAAGTAAACATTATCGCACTTTCTAAAGCATCCATCTGTATGACAAATTATATGGTCCACCCTATTTATCAGGTCCACCCTAATAACAACCCTCTCTTGAAGGATTATATTACCCTGGTCTTTCAAATGAGGAAATTAACAGTATTGAGATCCCAACCAAAAGGTCTGGCTTCAGAGCTGGCGTGCTTAGTCACTGTACTGTATGGCCACTCTGCATTCTAGTTTTATTATTATGATCTGGTTGTAAGTGAGTTTACAAGAGACAAGGGGAGAAGAGTAGGCATAAAATAGAAGCCACGATCTAGAATCACTCATTCAAAATATATAGTTACTATTTCCCCCTTTCCACAGTCACTTAGAAGGCACTCCTGATACATTTTAAACCTAAGTCTTAGAATAGTATTAGATTCCTGAGAAAATGACAGCTTTTCCTCTTTGATAAAAAGTCTTGTATTAATTACGTGTCCCCTTTGCTTTGACTGTTATAATAAAGTCTTATATCTTAAAGACGTCCACAATGCCAGCCCTCCACAAGTCTCACCTTCAGCATTTTCTTACTATTCCAGTTTACATTATTTCCTGCTCCTAATTTTTAAGCTTAAATTATTTAGCCATTTTTATGTGGTTATCCATCTGGTCAAGTGACTTGGAAATGGGGCAACAAAATAGAATGATAGATTGGTTTGCATAGGAAAACAGACAGAAAAGGAACGACAGCAATACAGGACCAGATGGATGCTTCCCAGAAGCAAAGAACAGGGGCCTGCGCTTACAGGAGTATGTGGGCACTGATGGATGAGGTTCTTTATGCCTTCCGAAAGAGGAGCCAAGCCACTGATGAGTGAGGTGACTAAGAGCTCTCATGCTCTTAGTGAGCTAAGGTCCACCTGCTGCTAAGATTACCTCAAAATACTAAGCTTAAGGTAAAACTCCAGTTTTAGAATCATTTAAAAAATAATTTGGTTAAGGATGAGCTGTGAAATAATTAATTCAAATGCTGCTAACTGAGCACTTCAGTTAGTGCTCCTCAAAGCTGTGAGAAATAGGCTTATGCTCAGTTCCTCCTGAGTGCTGTAAAAGGAACATAAAATCTCTGGACCCCAAACTCACTAAGCTGAAGGGAACAGTCAAGCTGAGAACTGGGTCATGCCAACCAGCCTCCCATTTTGTTCCTAAATAAGACAGCTACAGATCTAAAAGGATACATGCCTCTCTCACAATTTGCTCAAAACGAAATTCTTTGTGGGTCCCAAGATCTTTACCCTAAAACAGTTCTGTTGAATTTCACCCAGAAAATGCAAGAGAACAGCTATCTTCACAGATCCCGGAACAAAGGACAAAGGATAGAACTAAAAGCGCCCCCCACCCGCCGCCCGGCACCAAAGGAGTCATATCTGATTACTTCCTTTGGAAAGGCTAATCAGAAACTGAAAAGAATGTAACTGTTTGTGTCTCACCTATCTGTGACCTGGAAGCTCCCTCCCAGCTTTGAGTCTTCCTGCCTTTGCTTCCAGTTGTTCTGCCTTTCCAGACCCAACCAATGTACTTCTTATATCTATTGATTGATGTCTCATGTCTCCCTAAATGTAAAAATCAAGCTGTGCCCCAACTGCCTTGGGCACATGCTATCAGGACCTCCTGAGGCTGTGTCATGGATGCGTCCTCAACCTTGGCAAAATAAACTTTCTAAATTAACTGAGACCTGTCTCAGATTTTCTGGGTTCACAAATGCATATCTGATTACTTCCTCTACTTTATGTTTATTTTATCTTATGTAAAAATGCAGATTCACTGAGTGTGAGATGAATGCATAATTGACTATTTCTCTACCCCTTCCTTTGACATGTGAAATGTGGATTCAGTGCACACTGATCAAAGACTCAACAGAATGCAACTGCCTGCCCCTTTTATCTACCCTCCCCCTTTTTTCTTTTCTTCCTCTTTCTCCTACTGCCTGCTCTTTCCCATTAAATACTAAAATTCGCAGGCCCTCTTCGGAAAAAGCATGGATCACAGATTGTTCTTGTGGTTTTGTGTTCCTTTTTCCCGGGTGCGTTCTTAACCTTGTCAAAATAAACCTCTAACATGATTGAGACGCTCCTCAGTCATTTTGTTTGACTGTCAGTGGTGAAGGTTTGTTGCATGAGTCAACTTCTGTCTCACTCTGAGTCTTCTTCTGGCTGCTTTCAGTGCCAACACAAAGTGCTCCCTCTAACTCCTTGACATTTCTTCTGTCATCACTATCTCTAGGATTTCTGTTTATTGCTTTTGTTATGGCCACCGTCAGCTTTCAGGCATGCAAATCCCCAGTTTCTTCTCTATGTGGTTTATATTTAAGGTGAACAAGGGAGTCTCATGGGTCGGAAAGTCACCGTCTGATATGATCCAGACCTTTGGCTGCCCGTGGTTAATGAGTAACCTGGTGAGAAATAGTGGCAATGAGAATGCCATATGAGCTTAATAAAAAGTCTGGGGTGATACACCCAAGGATTTGCTTCTAATTGCATTTACCAGACAGGGCAGTGTTGAGTGCAGACAACTTTAAAAGGGGCAATTACCCAGCCTGCTAAACCTGCTATAGGTAAAGGAGTGTGCTGGGCAAGGTGCCAGAACATTGTATAAAATGATCATTATAGATTAAAGAAACACAGGCATACCTAGGGCCGTGGGCATTTGATACATCAGATCTAAAAGAATAATACATATGCTTCAGACCAGTTGTAAGAAAATTTACTTTTCTGTATAGCAGGGTCTAAAGTGCATTTCTAGGAGGCACAGATGCCTCACCAGAAAACTAAAGAAGTTCTGAAAAAAAGCTAATATGATACTTGAGAGCATGTCTGTTTCCATCTCATCTAAGTCACAGGAAGAGGAAACGGCCGCATTTACGAAAGTGTGAATTGGAAGCCCCTGGAAAATGTGACTGGATGGGATGAAACACTTGTGTGACACTTTAATAATGGGTATTGGCTAGCTCCTCATTATTTTCCACTGCAGTAAAGTGCGGCATGCAGCAAGATGTCAGTGTAGCATTTACCTATGCAGTGCCACTCTGCTGCAGAGTTTTAAGGATTGAAGATAAGGAAGTGCTACCCGAAAGCTGGCAAATACACCACACATTGAAAGATAAAGAAAGTTGACTTTTGCTGAGTACCTGCTTTGTGCTAGGCACTGGTTTCCAAATTTTGCTGCACAATGGAATCATCTTGGATCTTTAAAAACTGTTGATGCCTGGTTCCCATGCCTAATATTTTGACTTCATGGATGTTGCGTGCAATGTGGACGCTGTGTTTCTAAAAGCTTCCCACTTCATTCTAATGTGCAGCAGTTTGGGAATCACCCTACCAGACTATTACATTTCTTTTTTTTTTTTTCCTTCCTTCCTTCCTTCCTTCCTTCCTTCCTTCCTCCCTCTCTCCCTCCCTCCTTCCTTCCTTCCCTCCTTCCTTTCTTTCTTGATGGAGTTTCGCTCCTGTTGCACAGGCTGGAGTGGAATGGCACAATCTCAGCTCACCACAACCTCCGCCTCCTGGGTTCAAACGATTCTCCTGCCTCAGCCTCCTGAGTAGCTGGGATTACAGGCATATGCCACCATGCCCGGCTAATTTTCTATTTTTAGTAGAGATGGGGTTTCTCCATGTTGGTCAGGCTGGTCTCAAACTCTCGACCTCAGGTGATCTGCCCACCTCAGCCTCCCAAAGTGCTGGGATTACAGGCGTGAACCACTGTGCCTGGCCCAAACCATTCCATTTCTACTCATTATCTCACTTAAGCCACAGTGAAGCCTGTTGTTACCGATGAGGTCATAGAGGCTAGATGACCCCAGAAAACTTGCCTAGTTTTGGGTAGTGGAATAGACTAAAATCTGATCCTGTGGCTGTAAAACTCTGAAGCTTGGGTTCTTCTCACTCTTCCACACTGGTAGAATTCATGCACTGTAAGGAAAGAAAGGTTTTCTCTTTAATTTTCCCTGTGCTGGTAGCTAGCAGAGAATTGTAATTCATTTAGTAGAGGAAAAAAACCATATATATACTGGGCTATTTTATTAAGGATTGGGTTTTGGTTAAGATCAGACAATGAAACCTATTATAAATTTCCAAAGATATGCAGGTCAGACCATGCTACACCATGTTTCTGGGAGCCCAGAATGCAGAAACAAACATCAAAGTTCTCTTGTAATTTCATGGAAATATTTCATGTTCAAATTGTATTAATTTCAAAAGGTTAGAGTAGAAAATGAGAAGTATACACTTCATTAATTCTCAAGTTCTACATTTGCCAGAAACTTATCTCACCTTCATTAAAAAAAACTCTTATTACTTGATTTCAGAACACTTATAAAACATACTATGGGCCAGGCAAGGGGGCTCACGCCTGTAATCCCAGCACTTTGGGAGGCCGAGGCCGGCAGATCATGAGGTCGGGTGATCGAGACCATCCTGGCTAACACGGTGAAACCCCGTCTCTACTAAAAATACAAAAAATTAGCCAGGCGTGGTGGTGGGTGCCTGTAATCCCAGCTACTCAGGAGGCTGAGGCAGGAGAATCACTTGAACAAGCGAAAACGCCCGGGCGCTGTGGCTCACACCTGTAATCCCAGCACTTTGGGAGGCGGAGGTCACAAGGTCAGGAGATTTATCGAGAACATTCTGGCTAACACAGTGAAACCCCGTCTCTACTAAAAACACAAAAAATTAGCCGGGTGTGGTGGCGAGCACCTGTAATCACAGCTACTCAGGCGGCTGAGGCTGGAGAATCGTGTGAACCCAGGAGGCAGAGGTTGCGGTGAGTGGAGATTGCGCCACTGCACTCCAGCCTGGGTGACAGAGCGAGACTCTGTCTCAAAAAAAAGAAAAAAAACTTGTCTTAGGATAAATTCCTGGTAGTGAGATATTAGTTAAAGGAAGATGAAATTTTTATAAATTATATAGCATCTGTATGTTACTTTCTGAATGCACCCATTAGGTTACAAGGTCACAAGTAGCACATGATGCATCCCGTTCTCCACAGGACTGCCAGGAAAGGCTTATCTTTTCAGAGAGATTTTATTAGTAATTAGACATAAAATGGTGCTTTGAACTACTGTAACTTGCATGTCTATGGTTATTAGATAGATAAAATTTTTCCCACTTTTTAAACTATTTACATTATCTCATATGTGATCTTGACAATAGAGTTTTTTCCTTTTGTTTTTTACTGCTCTTGAATTTCCTCCTATTTTTTGAAATAACTTACTTAATATAGAGAGTTGTCTTCATGATGGTAGTATTATTCACAATATTTCCCAACTTCGTTGTGTTCCTTATATAGCTCTAGTCTTCTTATGCAGATATTTTCATTTGTATGCATTTAATTTTTTAAAGAATATCTTCTATTGCTTATAATCTGTGAAAGTTTGTATTTCTTTATCTCTGCTTAGACCTAGTGACTCCCTCATTTTATTATCTGTGAGCTTTTCTCTCCATTAGGTTAGCACAGCCTTCTATAATCTGACCTTATCACACCTTACAGAAGCATCATTTGACACACTTCAACTCAGCACCTCAGATCTATTTGGCCCATCCCTTTTCTTCCACACAAACATACCATGTTCATTTATGCCTTGGGGCATTTGGCCTGTCTTAGATGCCTGCCCATTCTTATTTCCTCTACCCATTCAAAGTCTACCTATCAGGGGGACAGATGCCTTGATTACACTCCTCCCCTTGATTTACTTAGTCACATGAACTCCTATAACCTCCTATAACTTGCATAGTCAATATTTATTTATTTATTTATTTATATATTTTTTTATTTTTTTGATATGGAGTCTCACTCTGTCACCAGGCTGGAGTGCAGTGGCATGATCTCAGCTCACTGCAAGCTCTGCCTCCCAGGTTCATGCCATTCTCCTGCCTCAGTCTCCCAAGTAGCTGGGACTGCAGGTGCACGCCACCACGCCCAGCTAATTTTTTGTATTTTTAGTAGAGACAGGGTTTCACCATGTTAGCCAGCATGGTCTCGATCTCCTGACCTCGTGATCTGCACGTCTCAGCCTCCCAAAGTGCTGGAATTACAGGTGTGAGCCACTGCTCCTGTCCCATAGTCAATATTTATAATTTGGCAATTACCTGTAATTACGTAGTCTCTTGTACGTATTTCAAATGTGTTAGCCTTCTCTTCTTAGACAAACTGTGATAATTAAGACATATTTCAGTGGTCTTTATAGCAGCTCTGATGACTGTTGAAATACATTTTTGAGTACCCTACATACTCACTGCATATTTAATTGGTTAAGAATTAAATAAAGAAGTGAATTTTTATCTGCAACTCAGTGGGTCAGGCCCATTGAACTCCAAGTGTCTCCAAGTCCTCATCACCTGCCTTTGAGTGACATGACTCACTCAAAGGCAGGTGATAAGAAACAAGAAAACTGGAACTCATACTTTCAGAGATTTTCCTGCCTCGGATGTGAAGTCTCTTGGCTACTGGAGTCTGGAAGACGACTTCTAAACTGATTCTGACAGGATTGTAACTTGAAACCCTATTATATTCAGTTTCCCTCACTGGTCTCTTTACCCACTCCACACTAGGTGGTACCAGTACTGAGAACTAATTCCCTTCTAAATTCTAAACTCTAAACTGTGTCCACTTTCATCTCACTTATCCTGCCAGTCCCTCCACTCCCTTTCAAGTTTCCCCCTCAAAGCTTCAATCTGTTCTCTTTGGTTCTGATCGTGTTCATCAGCACTCTCCACATGCTTCAACCCATAACACTCCAACTTTCAAACTGGATCAAAACAACCATGACTTTTCCCGTTCCTGTCCCTGGGCTATAGAGTGTTGCCACAAGAATTCACCCACCAAGTGAGGTTGGTCTCATGATTTACAGCCACGGGAGCAGCTTTGCAGAACTTCCAGCATCCTCTTCCATTTCTCCTATGGCTCTACCAAATCTTCACCACCCCTCAGAAGATTTTGCCTTTCATTCACAAAGAAAATTTGATTATCAGCCAGAAAGTCTCTCCATTGTCATGCTCTAAAACAACCAACCACATCAAGATATTACCCATATTTGCATGCAATCACGCTCACGTTCTTGTCTTCTAACCTGAGAAGGCTTGGAGGGAAAAACCCTTCTGCTCAAAGGCAGTCCATCCTCACATTGTTTACTCAGTCATAATCAAGATGCTGTCCAATTATTAACATCAGTCTTCCCTTTCATATATTTTTAATCTTTTCAATTTATAAACATGATCAACATTTTTTCCTGTGAAGAGAAAAACCAATTCTACATTTCAGACCTTGCTTTCTATCCACCCACTCTCTCCCTCAGCCACGGCCATTACCTCTTCAAGGCCAAACTTCTCCAAAAAAAAAGTCTTCCATCACTTCCTTGTTAGGTCTCCACCCACTTCCTTGGGTCTACGCACTCTTATAAACATTGAAGCCGTCAATTCCTCAGTAGTCAGATCCGAGCTCATCTGACTCTGGAATTTTCAGGTGTTAAGCCTTTCATCTTGTAACCCTGTCTTTCCCTGGCTTCCATGATACCGTTTTTCCACACCCTCTTCTAAGGTCTCTGAATGTGCCTCCTTGGTCTCCATTGCTAACCATTCTTCCTGCCTGCTTCTTGAATGTGATGTCTCTCATGTTCCATCCTTGAGCTTATTTTTCACAATGTATTCTTCTGAGTAATGTAAACCAGTGGTTTCCAATTTTAATGTACATATAAATTATCTGAGAATCTTAAAATGCATATTCTTATTCAATAGGTCTGGGATGAAGGATGAAATCGTGCATTTCAAACAAGCTTTCAAATGATGTCCATGCTCCTGGGCCATACACCACACTTTGAATAGTGAGGATCTAAACTACTTATTGGTCTCAGTTGGCGATAACCCCAAATCTCTGGCCAGTTCTATCTCCTGGGCAAATGCTATACAAATAGTTAAGCACCAAAGACAAACATCTCAAAAACAGATATGCAAAACTGAACTCATTTTCTCTGTTTCCTCAATCAAATAATTTGCAGACATCCCTGTTTTAATAAATGGCATTATGTCCCTTCAGTTATGTAAGTCAGACGTGGAGTTACCCTGAGCTTTTTTTTCACTATCTCTCCTGCCACTCATCCTCTACCTCGATATTCAGTTAATAAGAAAGTACTGGCTGGGCGCGGTGGCTCACGCCTGTAATCCCACCACTTTGGGAGGCCGAGGCGGGTGGATCATGAGGTCAGGAGTTCGAGACCAGCATGGGCAATATGGTGAAACCCCGTCTCTACTAAAAATACAAAAGTTAGCCGGGCGTGGTGGTGTGCGACTGTAGTCCCAGCTGCTCGGGAGGCTGAGGCAGGAGAATTGCTTGAACCCAGGAGACAGAGGTTGCAGTGAGCTGAGATCGTGCCACTGCACTCCAGCCTGGGTGACAGAGCAAGACTCCGTCTCAAAAAAAAAAAAAAAAAAAAGAAAGTACTGCTTACTCTACCTTCTTAACATCTCTCAAACTCATGGACGACTCTTTATCCCAGGCTGCTGCCTTAATTAACAACATCAATATCTATTTTATGAATCATTTACAACAATTTGCAAACTCGTTTTCTTGCCTTTACCATTGCTCCTCTCCAGACTCTCTACATTAGGAATATGTTTTTGAAAAATGAAAGCGTGACAAAGTCACTGTTTCAGGACAGTGTATCCAGCAAGTGATGAAGGAAGGCATCAGGCAAGAGGCACTGGAGCTTGAGTGGGTCATTTTTGGACACATGAACCAAGAGAGGCAGAGGGAGTGTAATGGTTTCCATTTCATCCCTGTGGCTCCACAGGACAAACCCCAAAACCCTTAACACAGACCACAAAGCCCTTGAAATCTTCTGTTTGCTAAACCTTCCTTCTTACAACCTAAACTTTTGGCATGCTTAGAGCTCCCAAGGTCCCTGTGCTCATCAGTCAACTCCTCTGTAAAGTGTCTTCTTATTGGCTCTTCTATTGGAATTTGCGCTATCTGCCATACTTCTCCAGCCAATTAGCCTTTTTAACACTGTTGTTATAAAAACTGTGGAAGAGGAAATTAGTACAGAGAAAAGCAACAGGCTAGCAAAAATCAGGGGCTCAGGGAGGAAGTCAGGGGCTCATCTTTCTAACCCCAATTAGAATCAGCACATTTAAGAACACTTGTGAATAGAAACTCTAGATTGCAGCCATTCATTAAAAACCCTTCATTTTACATATGGTAATCTGAGACTTCATAAATGACTTGTAACTTCCAAGATTCCAAATCTAATCAGTCCCACATAGGACTTTTCACCTCCAGTCCGGTGCTCAGGTGTTTCTGTTCTGCCCATCACCCATTACAGAGGAAGTACGTTCATCTGGGGATGCTTTTCTCCAGGAGAGACTTCCCTAAGCCTTTTGACTATGCAGATACTTTCATGCATCTAGAAATAGTTTATTGCCAGTATAATGCAAATTTTATTTCAGTGTAGAAAATAATTTCTAGACTCTCATGTCACATTACTTTTGGCAGGGGCTATTGTTGGAGAGTTAATCATTCTCTGAAAGTCATTGGTTCTTGGTTCTGTTTCTTTTAAAAGAAGAGAGCTCATTTAACTTAAACATGTAATAACATCCAGAACAGGTTGCTTTTCTGGAAACTGTTAATAGAATCTGCATAGCTAGACAATGATTAACATTATGCAAATCTTTTTTTTTTTTTTTTTTTTTTGAGGCGGACTCTCGCTGTGTCTCCCAGGGTGGAGTGCAGTGGCGCGATCTTGGCTCACCGCAAGCTCTGCCTCCCAGGTTCATGCCATGCTCCTGCCTCAGCCTCCCAAGTAGCTGGGACCACAGGTGCCCGCCACCACACCCGGCTAATTTTTTTGTTTTTGTATTTTCAGTAGAGACGGGGTTTCACCGTGTTGGCCAGGATGGTCTCAATCTCCCAACCTTGTGATCTGCCCACCTCGGCCTCCCAAAGTGCTGGGATTACAGGCATGAGCCACTGCACCTGGCTGATTATGCAAATCTTAAGCATTATTTCAAAGGTCTTTATCTTGTCTTCTCTTGGATAGACATTAAGAGGTAGACAGGGTTCAAAAAACCTAGTTTACAAAAAGGGAAGTCATCAGAATTCCATGAAGAGATTTTGGGAATGTGCATCTTCAAGCCCTATTCTTGTATTCATATGATCTTGGAATCTGTCTTCAGAAATTGTTCCCACGTGACTCTGATGACCATCATTAGTTAAGAATCACTCCCAGAGAATTTAAAGCTATATTGATCAAAGTGGAGGATCTATGACATGATCTAACCATTGATTTTTGATTCTGTATCAAATCCTTCAGTATCACACTCTATTGACCAATAGAGTTAGGGGCCAAGGGAAAGCTTATCTTTTTGCCTTCAGTAGATTGACTGAAAAATCAACTCACAAAAGGCAGATTAGTGAGATAAATGGCGTATACATTTACTAGGGTATATGAGAGAGAATCACAGAATGATTGCTCCACCACAAATTGGGGTACAGGTGATTATTCACTCTTATTAAGGGAAAGAGAAGTAGGGAAGTGTGAATGATTTTAGAAGGGTAGTAAATAATTTTGGGGGAGATTCAATGGGTTTGAAGAACATACAATGACCTGGGACCAAGTGTGTCGGGCCCACAGAGCAGACAATGGTTTGTGACAAAAGTCTGTCCAGATATGTTGGCAGACTTCAGTCTTTCTTCCTTCAATACGATTTCAGTTAAGGAAAACTCAGGGAGAATACCAGAGGTAATTGTTTTCTTCTATGTTAGTTCCATACTTTAGGCCTATAAAGAAACTTCAGAGAACAACTTTATCTCGTGCTTTGGGAGAGAAAGGAGAGGAGGGAAGGTCAAAGAGACCTTGAAGTGGCCGAGCGTGGTGGCTCACACCTGTAATCCCAGCAGTTTGGGAGGCTGAGGTGGGCGGATCACAAGGTCAGGAGATCGAGACCATCCTGGCTAACACAGTGAAACCCCGTCTCTACTAAAAATACAAAAAATTAGCCGGGTGCGGTGGCGGGCGCCTGTAGTCCCAGCTACTCAGGAGGCTGAGGCAGGAGAATGGCGTGAACCTGGGAGGTGGAGCTTGTAGTAAGAGGAGATCGTGCCACTGCACTCCAGCCTGGGTGACAGAGCGAGACTCCGTCTCAAAAAAAAAAAAAAAAAAAAAAAGAGACCTTGAAGTTTCTTCTGGAGTTCATCATGTCAAAGCACTGTATTTTGGTGTATGGGTTTCTGGGCCCCAGCAGGGTGAAAGGCAGATGTCAGCAACAGAATCACACAATCCTGATGATACTATTTAATTCCTGAATCCAGAAATATTCTGGATTAGAAAATATATCTTACTTTTCATTTATATGAGACAGTCAATTCCTCTTCATGTTTAAGTTAGTTCTTTGCTTAAGTTTTGTCCTTTGCAAAAGAAAGTAATGGCTTTTATGGTTTCTTCAGAAGGCCTTTCCTTTAATTCCTTAAAAACATATAGAAATCTGGAGAAGAAGCCTTTTGTTTTTAATAGCTTGACAATTATATACCCAAGTTGTTATGTTTTATTTTCCTTGTTTGATGTTCTCCAATTTTCTTGGATTTGTGGTTTCCAGTCTGTTGTTAACTTCTGGAATATTCTTGGACATTACTTCTTCACATATGTCTCTCAGATTCCAATTATATCTGTACTAGATTGTTTAATAACATGGAATAGATATCCCTAGTTCTTGAATGCTCTGTTCTATTTTTTCCCCATTCTTGTTTTCCTCTGTATTTCAGTTTGGGCGAGTTCTATTGATTCCCTTCTTAAGTGCAAGAGTCTTTCCTTGGCTACATGAAGTCTATTGACGAGTCTATCAAAGGAATTCTTTATCTCTGTTACCAAAGTTTTATTTCTAGCATTTCCATTTTATTCATATTATAGTTTCCATATCTCTGCTGAAATTACTCATCTGATTTTGCATGGTGCCAGTTTCTTCATTAGAGCTTTTACCATATTAATTACAGTTGTTTTTAAATTTTCTATCAGAAAATTCTAACAAACACTTGTGTCAGAGCTGAGTGTTGAGTGTGGTTTTGATGATTGCTCGGCCACTTGGAAATGGGTTGTTTCTTGCCTTTTTGTGTAGCTTGTAATTCATTTTAAATCTAGACATCTTGTATTAAATAGTAAAGACTGGGGTAGGGAGGCTGAGGCAGGAGAACGGCGTGAGCCCAGGAGGCAGAGCTTGCAGTGAGCTGAGATTCCGCCACTGCACTCCAGCCTGGGCGACAGAGCCAGACTCCTTATCAAAACAAAAAAAAAGACTGGGGTAAATACTTTTTATTCCCAAAAATGGGCACTTCTTTTTTTTTTTTTTTTTTTTTTTTTTTTTTTGCTAGACCCCACTAGGTGTGGGGTTTCATCCATCTCTTGAGAAATGTGTTAGCATGCTTAGTTAACTTGTACTTTTTAAAGTAAAACTGTTTGGTTTTATTGGTTCATGTTTTTAAAAATATGTCTCACCAAAACGTTAAATATAATTGAATTGGAATATCACTCTTTTAGTAAACCATAGACCTTTGTTTATTTATTTATTTATTTATTTTAAGACGGAGTCTCGCTGTATCGCCCAGGCTGGAGTGCAGTGGCGGGATCTCTGCTCACTGCAAGCTCCGCCTCCCGGGTTCACGCCATTCTCCTGCCTCAGCCTCCGGAGTAGCTGGGACTACAGGCGCCTGCCACCAGGCCCAGCTAATTTTTGTATATTTTTAGTAGAGACAGGGTTTCACTATGTTAGCTAGGATGGTCTCGATCTCCTCACCTCGTGATCCGCCCACCTGGGCCTCCCAAAGTGCTGGGATTACAGGCATGAGCCACCTCACCCGGCCCAACCATAGACCTTTGAACATACCTAAATGCCTGTGATACCATCTAATGAGACGGTTGCAATTTTCATTAAGTTTTCGCTACCCATAAAGTTCTTTTACTTTTCAAAATACACTAGTTATAAAGAAAGTCATTACAAGATATCCAGCCTGTGGCAGACCTTAACTTTCTTCATCATTGGCCTTTAATTTTACTAAACACCAGTAAATTCCAGGAATTCTCAATTGGAAGCATTTTCCCTTTTTTTGATAATGATTAAGTCTCACATTAGGTTTAAACTAAGTTTACCTTTTTTTTTTTTTTTTTTTTTTGAGGCGGAGTCTCGCTCTGTCGCCCAGGCCGGACTGCGGACTGCAGTGGCGCAATCTCGGCTCACTGCAAGCTCTGCTTCCCGGGTTCATGCCATTCTCCTGCCTCAGCCTCCCGAGTAGCTGGGACTACAGGCGCCCGCCACCGCGCCCGGCTAATTTTTTGTATTTTTAGTAGAGACGGGGTTTCACCTTGTTAGCCAGGATGGTCTCGATCTCCTGACCTCGTGATCCACCCGCCTCGGCCTCCCAAAGTGCTGGGATTACAGGCGTGAGCCACCGCGCCCGGCTAAGTTTACCTTTTTAAGAAAAACAATACACTTTATTCCACAGAATAGTTTTAGTTTCACAGCAAAACAGAGTGGAAAGTACAGAGAATTCTCATATACCCTATGCCTCCACACACGCACTGCCTCCCCCGTGATCAATCAGCACCCCTCACCAGAGTGGTACACTTGTCACAACCAACTTACATGGATACATCATTATCATCCAGAGTCTATAGTTTGCAACAGATTTTAATCTTGGCGTTGTACATAATATAGGTTTTGACAAAGGTGTAGTGACATGTATCCACCGTTATAGTATTATACAGAATAGTTCCAGTGCCCCAAAAGCCTCTGTGCTTTGTCTATTCATCTCTCCCTCCTCCCTAACAAGTGGCAAATGCTGATCTTTTTACTGTCTCCAAAGTTTTGCCTTTTCCAGAATGCCATACACTTAGAATCAAAAGTAGTTAGCCTTTTCAGATTGGGTTTCTTTTACTTAGTAATGTCCACTTAGGGTTTCTTGATGTCTTTTCATGGCTTGATAGGTCTCATCTTTTTAGGTTGAATAATATTCCATTGTCTGGATGTACCACAGATTATTTATCCATTCAGCTACTGAAGGTCGTCTTGATTGCTTCCACATTTTAGCAATTATGAATAAAACTGCTGTAAACATCTGTGTGCAGGTTTTTGTGTGGACCCAAGTATTCACCTCCTTTGGGGAAATATCAAGGAATGCAATTGCTAAATCATCTGGTAAGAATATGTTCAGTTTTTTTTGTTTTTTTTTTTGAGACGGAGTCTCACTCTGTCGCCCAGGCTGGAGTGCAGTGGCGCGATCTCGGCTCACTGCAAGCTCCGCCTTCCCGGGTTCACGCCATTCTCCTGCCTCAGCCTCCCCAGCAGCTGGGACTACAGGCACCCACCACCACACCCAGCTAATTTTTTTGTATTTTTAGTAGAGATGGTGTTTCACCATGTTAGCCAGGATGGTCTCGATCTCCTGACCTCGTGATCTGCCCGCCTCCGCCTCCCAAAGTGCTGGGATTACAGGCGTGAGCCACCGCGCCTGGCCTAGTTTTTTTAAAACTGCCAAACTCTCTTCTAAAGTGGCTGTACTATTTTGCATTGCCCAGAAATGAATGAAAATTCCTGTTGCTTCACATCCTTGCCAGTTTTTAGTGTTGTCAGTGTTTTGGATTTAAGCCATTCTAATAGGTGTGTAGTGGTGTCTCTCTGTTGTTTTGATTTGCAATTTCCAGTGACATATGATGTTGTACATCTTTTCATATACTCATTTGCCATCTGTATATCTTCTTGGATGAGGCATCTTTTCAGGTCTTCTGCCCTTTTAAAAATCGGGTTGTTAGTTTTCTTATTGTTGAGCTTTAAGTGTCCTTTATATAACTCAGATAACAGTCCTCTATCAGACATGACTTTTGAATATACTTTGTCCCAGTTTGTGACTTGTCTTCTCATTCTCATAGTATCTATGGTTTTTTTTTTTTTTTAGATGGAGTCTTGCTTTGTCGCCAAGGCCAGAGGGCAGTGGTGGTGTCTCAGCTCACGCAACCTCCACCTCCCGGGTTCAAGCAATTCTCCTGCCTCAGCTTCTTGAGTAGCTGGGACTACAGGTGCCGGCCACCACACCTAGCTAATTTTTGTATATTTAATAGAGACAGGGTTTCACCATGTTGACCAGGCTTGTCTTGAACTCCTGACCTCAGGTGATCCACCCGCCTTGGCCTCCCAAAATTCTGGGATTACAGGCGTGAGCCACCATGCACAGCCAGTTTTTAACTTTAATAAATTCTAGCTTACAAAATATTTCTTTCATTGGTGTTGCCTGAATGTACCACAGTTTTTTTATTCAGCCAGTTAATGAAGGACATCTTGGTTTCTTCCATATTTTGGCAAATATGAGTAAAGCTGCTATAAATGTCTGTGTGAATGTATTTGTGTGCACATAAGTTTTCAACTCCTTTGGGTAAATAGCAAGGAGTGCAATTCCTGGATCATCTGCAAAGTCATCACCGTATCCAGGGTCATCCAGGTTTTCTCTGATGTTATCCTCTAGGATTTTACAGTTTTGCATGTTACATTTAGGTCTATGATCTACTCTGAGTTAATTTTTGCAAAGCTCATAAGGTCTTTGTCTAGACTCATTTTTTCATGTGGATGTCCCATTGTTTCAGTACCGTTTGTTGAGAAGGCTGTTTTTTCTCCATTGCCTTATGTTTTCTCCTTTGCTGAGTTTAGTTTTTATGGCCATGAACAAAATCCTCTTGTTCCTTCACAAAACTATTAAAGACCTTTTTTCATCCTTTTCGTCAAGGCCCAAGTAATTACAATTTCTCTTCAAAACCTCTCATAACTCCTGGAGGTTCTTCAGAGAGTTGAGCTTAGAAGAGACTTATTTAGCAAATGCAACTATAAGGATGCTAATGTACTCTGTCCAGGTCAGAATTTCTTTTCTTCACTAGCTGACGTGTGTGCTTGACCCTTAACGTGGGTCTATAAATGCAGCACTGGGTTCATCAGTGGATCTGTAAGCTTTGGTGTTTTATTTCCCAAGAGCTCTATAGATGCTCCCCATTCCCTGAATTTTGTGCTGTAATGAAGGTGGACATGGCATTGTCAGTGCGACCCGGTCTCAGAGTTAGGTGGACTGCATGTGGGTTCGGGTTCTGCTACTCCCTGTAGGACCTTTCTACAAGTCACCTGTCTCCTCTAGGCCTCAGTTTCTTTATCTGTAATGTTGGACTAGATTCTGTCTATGGTCCTCTAGAGCTCCAAAGTGAAGATAAAACTCCTGTTCCACTCAGGGAGTTTGTATCTTCAAAGTGAAAGCTTCCTGGGGGAAATGAAGCTTGCCTTCACCAACGTTAGAAATTAGTGGTTGAAAAATAGTATTTTTCAGTGTCTGTGAGTCTTGAAGTTATGTTTTCACAGAGTGACAAGAAAACAAATTAATGAAAGGCAGACATCTTCATGAATGAGAGTCAGAGAAAATATGAACATAACATATGACCCAGCATATAGTCTGTTCTCCCTGAATGAATAAAATGTAGGAGTTATTCCCTGGTTTACAAACCAAAATGTTAATCAGAAGTCCCATTTGAGAAGTGAAGTGGGACTTTATTTTATTTTATTTATTCATTTATTTATTTAAGACAGAGTCTCGCTCTGTCCCCAGGCTGAGTGCAGTGGCGTGATCTCGGCTCACTGCAACCTCCACCTCCCGGGTTCTAACAATTCTCCTACTTCAGCCTCCCAAATAGCTGGGATTACAGGCGTGCCACCATGCCCAGCTAATTTTTGTATTTTTAGTAGAGATGGGGTTTTGCCATCTTGGCCAGGCTGGTCTTGAACTCCTGACCTCAGGTGATCCACCTGCCTTGGCCTCCCAAAGTTCTGGGATTACAAGTGTGAGCCACTGCACCTGGCTGGGGCTTTAAAGTATGTAAGATATATAGAGAGACGATGAAGAGGGAGGTACGGAGCGAGAGAGAGAGTGTGTGGCTGGAACTTGAAGTTTTTTTTTTATTTGAAGTTATATACTTTGGGAATAAACTTAGGTTTTCATGCTCTGCCGAGCTTAAGCAAGATGGCAAATGCATACATTGAGCTCTCTAATCATAACCTCAATATATGGATTCTTGTTCATTAAAATACTTGCACCAGCAAATATGATTTCCAAAATTTGTGTTTTGGAGGTAATTAAGTAACTGTATAAAAATAAATGCTTTCCCCTCCTTTCCCCAGTGACTTTCCATACTTTTAAAATAATAAAAATAATGTATATATATTTTTTAATTTTTAAAAGCAACTTAACTCTTTGTTTTTAGGAAACTATAGATTAAGGTATCCCTTTGATCCCGTGTGTACTAGGGATCCACAGGAATGTTCCTCAGCCCTGTGGCATGAGGTCTTTCTCAAAGTCCAGGCAGCTACACAGCATAGCCATGTTACTTTTAATTAGTGTAATTACCATGGAGACAATAGGCATCATCTGTCACTGTTTATCTTTCATTCTAATCAAAAGAGACATTTTAAACAAGCTTTTTAGGATCTCTGAAATATTGTCTACTCATAATCATGTATTATAAAGTTCAGCTGTTTTAAAAGTTAACTATACCAGGAGTGTACTCATTAGGTATGATAACAAGTTAACTGGTTAATCTCATACAGATGGAAAGTTCTTATAAGTTAGACATTTTTGAGTTGTGCACCTATATTTGGAAAGAACAACTTTTAGTCATATCCCTCATATATCTGTTTTGACGTTTTATGTCAGCCTTATGTTTAAATGTGATACCTCATTATAACGTCCTAAAGGCAAGAAACAATATACCCAAATAAAAATATGTCTATGCTTCTGTGTTATAATTTATAAGACTGGCTTCGGTAATTGAATAAACATGTTAAGGTATTTTATTTCAATTATTTATACTCCATTGAGTTGTTCAAATGAGTATGAATCCTTCTAGCAAAAACCCAACCCTCCTTTGGATCTATTCGCAAGGTGCACTTCAAAAGTTTATCATATAGTCGATGTTTGTAATTCTGTCTGTATTATTTCTTCAATAATACCTATGCACCTTGAGGGAAAGTTCTGCCTTATTCTTGCATAAGCTCAATAGGCACACATTTATAATTCAATGCTTGTAATATTTTCTCCCATTTCTGAGATACTTAAAAAATTTAACCTCATTATCACCATCATTACCTCACTATCACCATGAAAATCTCAGTGACAAATAGAGCAACAGTGATCAGCTTGTGAGTAAAAGCCAAATACCAGGCACTAACAAGAGTTCTCTTTTCATAAGAAACCTTCAAGGTCACTGCATGAGGACGAGGCCAGGCCAGTATTCAACATCGGATTTATAGATCCTAAAGTTGGCCACTTTCCTCTTTGCCATGCTGAATCTTTAAAATAAATCCTAATTCAATCTTTTAACCTAATGGCATGTCCAAGTCAAATTTTTTACTACACACTTTTCCCAGATTCACCTCTTTTATTATATATTGGAAAATATAATTTCACAAAGATTATTTCGAATAAAGAGGTAATTTTTCCAATCGTGTAAATGAAATCCACAGGAAAGGAGAGCTCTTCTGTATAAATAGCACAAATTCAGAGGAATGCCTTTGCAAACTCTATGCTTCACCAACACAGATCTTCCCTAGGAAGAGAATTCAAGATTGACCCCAAAACTCATCTCCTGAACTCAGTTGATACATCTTTTCAGTAACTGCCAAAGCCTCATTTGCAATTTCAAATACCTTTGACAAAAAGCCAAAATGTTCTGAAATGTCAAATTCACTTGTACTTTACTTCTTCCACTCTAATGTTTTCAATAAATATATTGTCAGCTACAGCAACAATTTCCAATTTCCCTTGTAAATAAGTGAAATAGCTTGGGAGGATCTTCTGAGATTGCATTGAGGTGTGCTCACAGGGCTATTTCATTTATAAGGTGTCAAGTCAGGTAGGTGGGCTGATCTGTTTCTTCAAGTAGCATCTGTGTAATAGGGTGTTGTTCAGTTAAGAGCCTGAGTCCTGCATCTCAGTGTCTTACTATGGGATGCTGAACAAGCTAAACTTTTTTATTTTATTTTATTTTTAAGTTCTGGGATACATGTGCAGAATGTGCAGGTTTGTTACATAGGTATACATGTGCCATGGTGGTTTGCTGAACTTATCAGCCCATCATCTAGGTTATAAGCCCCGCATGCATTAGGTGTTTGTCCTAATGCTCTCCCTCCTCTTGTCCCTCATCCCCCTACAGGCCCTGATGTGTGATGTTCCCCTCCCTGTGTCCATGTGTTCTCATTTGAACAAGCTAAACTTCCTAAACTTCAGCCCTACCATATGTACATTGGAAATTATAACAGTGCCTTGTATGGCATTTAGTCACAATGTCTGGTGTAGAATAGATGCTCTAAAATTATTATTATTATATGCTGAAGGGCAGACATCTCATCTTATTTTTTTTTTCACTTAAAAGAATATATTTTTTCAGAGACAAGATCTCGCTATGTTGCTCAGGCAGGTCTCAAACTCCTGAGCTCAAGTGATTTTCCCATCTTGGTCTCCCGAAGTGCTGGGATTACAGGCGTAAGCCACCATGCTTGGGCCACATCTTATTTTCATTGTGTTCAGAATACAATATAGGGTTGCATATAACAGCATTAAATGAACTGTTGTCATGCTTCCCTTGCTGATGTGTGTGCATATCTGTAATCCACTTTATGGGGGGATAAAGTTTTGTTTGGGCTCATGTCGGAACTGACGGAGTTGTCTCTTCATTAGAAACTGGATGGTCTAGTTTAAAACTACACTGTAAAGACGTGATGTGGCCTTAGTTATGGCATTTAAATAATGGGTTTAACTCATCAAATTTCCCTAATAATATAACACTAATATATTTAGCTAGTCCACAGAAACACATATTTTTGTAGATTTTCTTTTTTTTTTTTTTTTCGGAGATGGGGTCTCATTCTGTGTCCCAGTCTGTAATCTGTAGTGCAAAGGTGCAATCACACCCATTGCAGCCTCAACTTCCCAGGCTCCGGTGATCCTCCCACCTCAGACTCCTGAGTGGCTGGAACCACAGGTGCATGCCACCATGCCTGGCTAATTTTTTTTTCTTTGTAGAGGTGGAGTCTCACTATGTTGCCCAGGCTGGTCTTGAACTCTTGGGCTCAAGTGATCCTCCCACCTTGACCTCTCAAACTGCTGGGATTACAGGTGTGAGCCACCACACCTGGACATGTAGATGTTCAATAACAAGAAATGTAAACAGTAAAGATATAGTATTAGAGACAATTATCTATTTTTTAAGACCTCCAGACAGCGATTATTCCTTCAGCTGCGAGAAAACGTAAATGCAAAATACCTGCAAAATGCGATGACTTCCTGTAATGTGGCATCACAGGCAAGCTGTGGCTTTTCAGAAGATACATTCACCCTGTTACCTTACAGCTCTACCAAGTGGGACACCCCAGAGATCCTTATATATTATGTCTTTTTAATAGTTATTCCCAGACATTGTTTCTCTGCATTTATTTTCAAAGTATTAATCCAATTTAACACTCATCTTCCTGGCAAGAACAGTAAAGGGTCTGAAATTTTATACTACTTACAATCTAACAAGTTGGCCTGCCACTCTCATGGATGCTGCCAAAAGAAATAAGACTCCCAGGTCAGAGACAAAGAACGTTATTATTATTGTTATTATTTTATTATTTTATTTTATTTATTTACTTTTTTGAGATGGAGTCTCGCTCTGTCGCCCAGGCTAGAGTGCAGTGGCATGATCTCGGCTCACTGCAAGCTCTGCCTCCCACGTTCACGCCATTCTCCTGCCTCAGCCTGCCGTGTAGCTGGGACTACAGGCGCCCACCACCATGCCCAGCTAATTTTTTGTATTTTTAGTACAGACAAGGTTTCACCGTGTTAGTCAGGATGGTCTCGATCTCCTGACCTTGTGATCTGCCTGCCTGAACCTCCCAAAGTGCTGGGATTACAGGCGTGAGCCACCACACTCAGTCAATAACATTATTATTTATGGACCAACAAACAGCATAAGCAACAGGGTATCAGTTGTCCTTGCCCTGGAGTCCCACGGGAAGGACATGGATGGACTCAGATGGATGAATGCACATGCATTACGGGATACGAGCCCTGAGCTCAGGGAATGCAAATCCCTTGTAAAGATCCCTAACTATGCCTAGTCTTTGTTCCAGAAGGAGATACCAACATGCTTGAAAAGATGGTCAAAACAAAGGGCAGTCTGTGTCTGCTCGTAAAGTGTGCAGAAATGTGAGGGACTCATGAAAACATGTCACACAATACTTTCCTCTTATAGTAGACAAGTGAGTCTGTATGCACATGGGGTACTGGATGAAATACTTTATCAAAACTGGTCAGAAATTCAGACAAAAATTTAATTCAATCAAACAACTGCATGTAATAAATAATATTTTCGTGTGGCTACCAGTGACTCACAAGTCCAGCTGCTTCAAAAAACATCCTAATTCTCTAGCCCCATCACAGTTCAATTCAATATAATCTGTGGGGAGGGGCCTGGCCTCAGTATTTTTAAAGCTTTCCAGGTTACTTTAATGAGTAATCAAGTCAGGGCTGACAATCACTAAGCCAAAATAAGCCTACTACTATGCAAGGTCTTTTCAGAGACAGAGAAGGAAAAAAAAAAACTACCTAAAGTAAATTCCATGATACAGTATCTATAAACGAGGGAACCTACAATCTTTGGCAGGAAAAACTTCAATTAAACTCATTTTCTTGCTACGCTGACCATTTATTTTACCAAAATAAGTCATAACGTAAGATCTATTGCTCAGTTCCTGTGTAGACAGAACCTAAAATCTGGGGAGAGGCAAGATCAACTAATTTGTTTTTTTTACTCACTTGACAAGTATTTTGACTAAAGCACTTAAGGATTGTGGTGTTGATTTAAAAAAAAAATGTTTAACAATTTTGTAAAAGACATTTTTTTGCAGTTTTCCAACAAAATCTTGTAAGCGAAGCATGTTTTCTTTCTCCTTATCTCAACCCAAATGGTATGCTATTCCTCATATTTTCTTTTTTTAAAAATCTTGTATTTTAGATTAAGGGGTACATGTGAAGGTTTGTTATGTAGGAAAATAGATTGTTTCATCACCCGGATACTGAGCCTAGTACCCAATAGTTATTTTTCCTGATCCTGTCTCTCCTCCCACCGTTCATCCTCAAGTAGGCCTCAGTGTGTGTTGTTCCCCTCTTTGTGTCCATGTGTTCTCATCATTTAGCTCCCAATTATGTGGTATTTGGTTTTGAACATGTGGTATTTGGTTTTCTGTTCCTGCATTAGTTTAAGCATCATGGCCTCCAGCTCCATCCATGTTCCTGCAAAAGACATGATCTCATTCTTTTTTATGACTACATAGTATTCCATGGTGTATATGTACCACATTTTCTCTATCCAGTCTAACATTGATGGCCACTTAGATTGACTCCAAATCTTTGCGATTGTGAATTGTGTTGCTCTGAATATATGCATGCATGTGTCTTTATGATAGAATGACATATATTCCTTTGGGTATATACCCAATAATGAGATTGTTGGGTGAAATGGTAGTTCTGTTTTTAGTTCTGTGGGGAATCATCACACTGCTTTCCACAATGGTTGAACTAATTTGAACTCCCACCAACAGTGCATAAGCGTTTTTTTTTCCCACTGCGACCTCACTAGCATCTGTAATTTTTTGACATTTAATTATAGCCATTCTGACTGGTGTGAGATGGTATCTCATTGTGGTTTTTATTTGCATTTCTCTAATGATCAGTGATAATGGGATTTTTTTTCATATGTTTGTTGGCCGCATGTATGTCTTCTTTAGAAAAGCATCTGCTTATGTCCTTTGCCTACTTTTTAATGGGATTGTTTGTTTTGCTCTTATAAATTTACTTAAGTTTCTTATTGATGCTGGATATTTGACCTTTGTCAGATACATAATTTGCAAATATTTTCTCCCATTCTGTGGGTTGTCTGTTTACCCTGTTGATAGTTTCTTTTGTTGTGCAGAAGCTCTTTAGTTTAACTAGATACCATTTGTCAAATCTGCTTTCATTGCAATTGCTTCTGGCATCTTTGTCATGAAATCTTTGCCATTCCTATGTCCAGGATGATATTCCCTATGTTGTCTTCCAGGATTTTTATAGTTTTAGGTTTTACATTTAAGTCTTTAATCTAGTTCATTGAGAGTTTTTAAAATAAAGGGATGTTAAATTTTATCAAAAGTCTTTCTTTGTCTATTGAGATAATCGTGGTTTTTGTCTTTAGTTTTGTCTATGTGACGAATCACATTGATTGATTTGCAAATGTTGAACCAACTTTGCATCCCAGGAATAAAGCCTATTTGATAGTGGTGGATTAAATTTTTGATGTGCTGCTGGATTCAGTTTGCCAGAATTTTGTTGAGAAGTTTTGCTTCCATGTTCATCAAGGATATTGGCCTGAAGTTTTCTTTTATTTTTGTGTCTCTGAGAGGTTTTGATATCAGGATGATGATGGCCTCATAGAATGAGCTGAGGAGGAGTCTCTCCTCTTCCATTTGTTGAAATAGTTTCACTAGGAATGGTACCAGCTCTTCTTTGTACAGCTGGCAGAATTCAGTTGTGAATCCATCTGGTCCTGGGCTTTTTTATTTTTATTTTTTTTTATTGGTAGGCTATTTATTACCAATTCAAGTTTGGAGTTTGTTATTGGTTTGTGGAGGGATTCAATGTCTTCCTGGTTCAGTCTTGGGAGGGTGTATGTATCCAGGAATTTATCCATTTCTTCTAGGTTTTGTAGTTTGTGTGTGTAGAGGGGTTCATAATATTCTCTGATGATTATTTTTATTTCTGTGGGGTAAGTGCTAATATCCTCTTTGTCATTTCTGATTGTGTTAATTGGATCTTCTCTCTTTCTTCTTTATTATTCTGGCTAGTGGTCTATCTATCTTATTAACTTTTTCAAAAAATTAGCTCTGGCTTTGTTGATCTTTTGAATAGTTTTTCATGTCTCAATTCCTTCAGTTCAGCTCTGATTTTGGTTATTTCTTGTCTTCTCCTAGCTTTGGGGTTAGTTTGCTCTTGCTTCTCTAGTTCTTTTAGTCATGATGTTAGGTCGTTAATTTAAGATCTTTCTAACTTTTTGATGTGGATTTTTAGTGCTATAAATTTCCCTCTTAACACTGCCTTAGCTGTGTCCTAGAGATTCTGGTATGTTGTAACTTTGTTTTCAGTAGTTTCAAAAAACTTCTTGATTTCTGCCTTAATTTCATTATTTACCTGAAACTCATTCTGGAGCAGGTTGTTTAAGTTCCATGTAATTGTATGGTGTTGAGCAATTTTCTTAGACTTGAATTCTGTTTTTACTGCACTGTGGTGTGAGAGTGTGGTTGGTATAATTTCAGTTCTTTTTGCATTTGCTGAGTATTGTTTTATGTCCAATGTGTGGTTGATTTCAGAGTATGTGCCATGTGGCAATGAGAAGAATGTATATTTTATTGTTTTGGGGTGGAGTGTTCTGTAGATGTCTATCAGGTCCATTGGTCCAGTGTTGAGTTCAGGTCCTGAATATCTTTGTTAATTTTCTGCCTCAATGATCTGTCTAATATGGTCAGTAGGGTGTTGAAGTCTCCCACTAATATTGTATGACAGTCTAAGTCTCTGAAGGTCTCCAAGAACTTGCTTTATGGATCTGGGTGCTCCTGTGTTGGGAGCATATATATTTAGGATAGTAATGTCTTGTTGAATTGAGCCTTTTACCATTACGTAATGCCCTTCTTTGTCTTTCTTAATCTTTGTTGGTTTAAAGTTGCTTTTTTTTCTGTTTTCCATTTGCTTGGTAGATTTTCCTCCATCTCTTTGTTTTGAATTTATGGATGTCATTGCATGTGAGATAAGGTTTTTAAAGACAGCATACCATTGGGTATTGCTTTTTCAGTCAGCTTGCCACTCTGTGCCTTTAAATTGGGGAATTAAGTCCATTTCCATTCAAGATTAATACTGATACGTGTGAATGTAATCTTGTCATCATAATGTTAGCTGGTTATTTTAAAGACTGGCTTATGTGGTTGCCTTATAGTGTCACTGGGCTGTGTATTTCACTGTATTTTTTTTTTTAGTGGCTGGTAACAGGCTTTTCTTTCCATATTTAGTACTTCCTTTAGGAGCCTTATAAGGCATGTCTGGTGGTAAAAAAAAAAAATCTTCTCAGCACTTCTTTGTCTGAAAAGGATCTTATTTCTCCTTCACTTATGAAGCTCAGGTTGGTTAGATTTGAAATCTTGGTGGGAATTCCATTTATCTAAGAATGTTGAATATTGGCTCCCAACCTCTTCTGGCTTGTGAGGTTTCTGCTAATAGGTCTGCTGTTAGTCTAATGGACTTCCCTTTGTACCTTTGTAGGTTATCTCTCATTACTTTTTCTCTGCCTTTAAGATTTTTTTGCTTCATTTCAAGCTTGGAGAATCTGATAGTCATGTCTCTTGGGGATGATTTTCTTGTGAAGGATTTTGCAGGGTTCTCTGCATTTTCAGAATCTGAATGTTGGTCTCTTTAGCTAGGTTGGGAAAGGTCTCATGGATGAAATCCTAAAATATGTTTTCAAGTAGTTTCCATTCTCCCCATCTCTTTCAGAGACACCAATGAGTCATAGATTCGGTCTCTTTACATAATTCTATGTTTCTCAGAGATTTCTTACTTTCACTCTTTCTTCTTTCTTCTTGTCTGGCTGTCTTATTTCAGAAAGCCAGTCTTCAAGCTCTGAGATTCTTTCCTCAGCTTGGTCTATCCTGCTGTTAATACTTGCCATTGCATTATGACATTCTTGTAGCGTGTTTTTCAGCTCTATCGGGTGGGTTACATTCTTTTCTCTACAGCTATTTTATCTGTCAGCTCCTGTATCATTTTATTGTGCCTCTTAGCTTCCGTAGATTGGGTTTCAACATTCTGCTTAATCTTAATGATCTTCATTCATATCCATATTCTGAATTACATTTCTGTCACTTCAACCATCTCATCTTTGCTGGAGAGGTGATGTGGTCATTTGGAGGGAAGAAGGCCCTCTGACTTTTGAGCTGTCAGGATTCCTGTGCTGATTCTTTCTCATCTCTGTGGGCTGATGTTTCTTTAATCTTTTAAGTTGATGTCCTGTGGCTGAGCTTTATTTTATTTTATTCTATTTGATGGCCTTGAGGGTTTGGTTTTGGTACAAGGTGGGTTCAACTGACTGGTTTCATTTCTGGAATATTTTAGGAGGCTCAGGCTCAGCTCAGGACTCCCAAACTGCATGCTCTAACTCTGGGGGACTGGTTTCTGGCCCAGGCTTTGTCTCTGGCCCCTAAAGGTTAGGAACCTGCTGTGCTGGAAGGACCAAGATGATCCAAGACCACTGGTCACAACACTCTGATGGGTGGTGCCAGTCAAAGTGCTTCATAGGGCAGTGCCAGTGAGATCCATCCTGGTTCACACCTTCAGCAGCAGCAGCAGCAGTGGCAGCGAGGTGTGGTGCACATTCACTGGCTGCGGCAGGGAGCTAGTGGCTGCCAGCATGCTGGCCTCATTGTGGGCATTCATAGCAGCAACTGTGGCATCACGGTGCAGGGGTTGGGGGTGGGGGATGCTTGCCCCCTCCCCCACCCCTGTGTCTTTGTGTGCATTTGTGCCGGTGGCGGTGTTAGCATGGGAGTGAAGCACTGGTGAGCACAGGACTGTGTGAGTTCTCCTTGCACATTCACGTGGGTGGTAGTAGCCGCTCAGAACAGGGGTGGGTCCTCTGTTCTCGGTGCCTATTGTCACACTGGTGGTAGTGTCGGTGCAGGGGCAGGGTGTTGGCAGGGGCGGGGCTGGCGGGCTTCATGCCCACTCATCAATGCTCCAACAGTAATGGCAGTATGGTGGGGGGTCGAGAGGGTGAAGTGCACTCAGGATGGCAGCAGTAGCATGGCACACACACTGTGGCAGGAAAGGGGAGGCAAGGTCCACACACACACACATGCACTGGCAAAACGATGTGGGGGATGGCCGTGGGCTAGTGCATGCAGGCAAAGTGGCACGGGGAGACTGCAGTGGGGGCAGGGCACAGTTAGGCTGATGTGTGTACATGGGGGCCACTCTGCAGCAGATCTCTGCTGGTCAGGCACAGTCAGCCAGCACAGGAACTATGATGCAGGTCCTCAGGAGGTAGCCTCCACTGCACCCCGCTGTGAAGCTGCACTGCAAGCAGGTGTGGCCAGGCTGGGGCCCCAGGAGGGGCGAGCAGACTGAAGGATGCTCAGGTCAGACTGGCCCTGTCTCAGGGGCAAGAATGCCCTGCAGAGTTCAGGTCTGACAGTTCCCCTAGGGCTGAAGTCTCCTATGAGAACAAGTTTAGCCTAGGGCAATGGGTGTCCCTGACCATTCTCCACTACAGATGCTCCCACACAAAACCTTCTGGGCTTTGCACAGTCTGGAATTCTACCATTAACACTTTATAAGCAGGTCTTCCTGACAACTCAAGTGTCCCTGGTGGTTGTAGGGTCTCCTCCTGTCAGGAATTCAGGGGCCTGCGACAAGAGGAGGTTGCCCCTTGCCTGTTCAACTCACCTCTCCTCCAGGAGATTTTGGGGACCTGGAATGAGTCCTGGTGCACGGTTGCCCCTTGCAGGGTTCCCGCCTTCCTCCCCCTTCAGCCCAACATCTGTGTCTTCCCTCTGTCTGCTCTCAAAGCCTTCCCTCTGAAGATCTGCCAGGAGCACACCAGTCTTCCCAATGTCCTGGTCCCTTGGTGGGAGCTGTTCCTCCTGGCTGTGTCTAGTCAGCCATCTTCCCTCATATTTTCTTCACACAAGTTAACAATGGTTATTTTCACATTGTAATTTCATCTATTAATTGACATTTAAGAGAAAACAAATCAGAGTGTGTGATAATTTGCTAATATTTCTCCCAATGAGCACATATGTTTTGTTGTTTCCTTCAACAAAGACAGTGATAGCTCCACATCATTGTTCTGATTTTATCAGATCTATAGGAGGAAAACTCAAACTGTGATGAAGGCATTCAGTGAAGATCTAAATAAATGGAGAGTTGTTCTAAGTATATGGATAGAAAGACTCAATATTGTGAAGATGTCAGTTCTTTCAAATTTCATCTATAGATTAAAAGCAATCCCAATAGAAATCCCAGCAAGTTATCTAGTGGGTATTGACAAACTGATTCCAAAGTTTATATAAAAAGGCAAAAGATCCAGATTAGCCAACAAATGTTAAAGAAGAACAAGTTTGAAAGTCTTACACTGTATAGCTTCAAAATCTATGATAAAGTTATAGTGATCAAGACAGTGTGGTATTGGTGAAAGAATAAAAAAATAGATCAATGGAACATACCAGCGGGCCAAAAAATAGACCCACATGTACGTAGTGAACTGATCTCTGACACAGAAGCAAGGGCAATTCAAAAGAAAAGGTAGTCTTCTCAACAAATGGTGCTAGAATAACTGGTCATCCAACATGCAAAAATATAAATCTATACACAGACCTTACACCTGTCACAAAAATTAAGTCGAAATGGATCATAGACCTAAATGTAAAGTGCAAAACTATAAAACTTCTAGAAGACAACATAGGAAAATATTTAGTTGACCTTGATTTTGGTTATGACCTTAGGTACAACATCAAAATGCATGATTCATCAAGAAAAATTGATAAGTAGGAATTCATTAAAATTAAAACTTCCATTCTGTGTAAGACACTGTTAAGACAATAAAAAGACAAACCAAAGATTGGGAGAAAATCTTTGTATAACACTTATCCAATAGAAGACTAGTATCCAGAATACATAAAGAATCCTTAAAATTCAACAAGAAGAAAACAACACATTTAAGAATGAGTAAAAAATATGAACAAACATCTAATCCCAGAAGATATGCAGAATGACAAGCATATGAGAAGATGCTCCACATCATATGTCATTGGAGAAATGCAAATTGAGATAACAATGAGATACTACTACACACAAATTAGAATGGTGACATTCAAAATACTGACACCACCAAATGCTGGGGAGGATATGAGTCAACAGGAACTCCCATCCATTGTCGACAGGAATGCAATATAGTATAGCCACTTTAGATGACAGTTTGACAGTATCTTTCTTTTTTTTTTTTTGAGACAGAGTCTCTCTCTATTGCCAGGTTGGAGTGCAGTGGTGCGATCTCAGCTCACTGCAACCTCCGCCTCCTGGATTCAAGCAATTCTCCTGCTTCAGCCTCCCAAGTAGCTGAGACTACAGGTGCGTGCCACCACGCCCAGCTAATTTTTGTATTTTTAGTAGAGATGGGATTTCACCATGTTGGCCAGGATGGTCTCGATAACTTGACCTCGTGATCCCCCCGCCTGGGCCTCCCAGAGTGCTGGGATTACAGGCGTGAGCCACCACGCCCGGCCGACAGTATCTTACAAAACTAAACATACTCTTACCACATGTTTCAGCAATTGCAGTTCTTGGTACTTACCCAAAGAGATTGAAAACAAAGATATGTTCAACAAAAACTTGCACACAGATGGTTATAGCAGGTTTGTCCATAATTGCCAAAACTTGGAAGATGACTTTTAATAGCTAAATGGATAAATAACCTGTGGTACATCCAGACAACCAAATATTATGCAGTGATAAATAGAAATGAGCTAGCAGAGACATGTAAAGACATTGAGGAAACTTAGATATATGTTGTTAAGTGAAAGAAGTCAATCCAAAAAGGCTACATACTTTAGGACCTCTGGGGGAAGGGAGGGATGAATAGGTGGAGCAGAGAGGATTTTTTGGGCAGTGAAGGTATTCTGTATGATACTGTAATGATGGATACACGTCATTGTGGGTTTCTCATAAGCTATAGAATGTAAAACACAAAGAGTGATCCCTAATGTAAACTATGGTCTTAATAATAGTGTATTAGTATTGGCTCATCAATTGTAACAAATGTACCAGGAGATGTTAATAGTAGGGGAAATTCCTGCAAGAATTGCCCACTCCCACCCTCTCATTTCACAGATGAAGTCCCGTGACCCAGAAGTGCAAAGCCATCTGTTGCTGCTCCCATCCTATTGGAGACATAGCCCTGACTCTTCCTCTGAGTTGGGGTCCAGGGCTCTTTCTGCTCCTCTAAATAGCCACCTCAGCAGAGCCTCCTGGCAAGTAGGATTTAGTCTACACCAGGCTTCCTGCATGCCACTATTTACTTTCCTAATGAAGACAGAAAACGAGGTGTGAAGGCAGCAGCATGTTAGATTTTTCAGTTCTAATGGGAAGAATAAAAACCTCACTATGATGCACTAAAGAGCCATTAGTGAAAACAGTTTTAAGTCCCTACCTCAATTCCCAAGAAAGCTGATGGAGAAAAACGGCAGCTTCAACATTTGCACTTTGACTTGCCTCTCTCCATGGGAACTTCAGATTTCCTTCCTACAGCTAACACAATCCTAAATTTCTAGTGTGGCTTTCAGGGATTACCAAAGACAGAATGTTGAATGAATTGTATGGTTTCTGTCTTCAGTCATAGGAACCATTCTTTGCTCTAGGAGTAGCAATGAGATCCAAATCCAGGAAATATGGCAATATCTTCGATTTACATCATTAGCCCTCAGTATTTTTTTTTTTTTTTTGAGACTAGAAGCAGAAGGCTGCTTCATGCCTGGCTGCCTATCAAAAGAAGCAATTTTCATAAATCTATAGCTCTGAACAATGAAAGCAGAGCTTTCACCTCTGCTGAATCAGTGTCTGGAGCATCAGGGACAGGGGAAAAGTTCTAACATTAGCTTTTTTCTTCTACCTGCTGCTAATCAGAGTGCAAGCGAGAAGTTGTATTCTTCTCAGGGCCAGTAAAGCAGGGAAAGAAATCACTAGTGCTCCTCCCCAGTCTGAGGATCAAATAAACAGCCTTTTTTATCATCCAGCTGCTAGGGGTATGGCTTGAGCTACAGACAGCTCATTAGAAAGAACCACAAAGTTAGAAATTTGGCCTTTGGGGGGAAAATGTCACTCTTCAAATTCCCTGTCTTGTGTTCTTTAACTAAGTACATATCCTTTTTAGGGGCCAGATGGGATGGGGAGACCTGTTTTGAACCTTAAGACAATAATAAGAGCTTAGATATTTACTGAAGGAATGAAATGGTTTGTCTGAAAGTTGCCCAGTTTCACAACTGTTGTTCCATAAAACCAAAGAGAACGATGCTTGCCACGTGGTAAAAGCTGACTTTAGTTGACATCTCTTCCTTCATTCTTTTTCAGCTCACACATTCCTCCCCATTCTCTGAATTCCCACAAAGACTGTTATTGCTGGGGCTCATAAAATTATACCCCAAAGTATGATGCTTTGGCATCCAGAGTGCTTTGAACTATAGGAGATTGAAGGCCCCAGAAGCCAAGTTTCCCTCTGACCTTCTCCTGCCTTCCTGTCTTCCACCCCCTGCTTTTCCCCTGAAGTGAGTCCTGGAAGCCAGAATTCTTCTTGCCCAAAGCAAGCCGTGACACCCTGGAAATATCACTCTAACCTTCCTTGCCTTTCCGTGTGGCAGCTGGCCATGAAGAAATTCTCTGACCTACCTTGTTTGATAGCAGATCACAAGACCCTGGTTCCAGAGCGGTCCTGCTTTACACCGAGGGAAAGGAATGTCATACAGAAAGGCCAAGAAGAATCTGAAGAGATGTCCAATCACCTTTTCACGTGGCTGCCCATTCTTCATTGAACCTAAGCATTAAAATAGACAGTTTCCCCTGGGTCTTTGGGTCTTCATTTCTGAAGACTCCATGTCATGTAAAACTTTGATTAAATAAATGTATCATGCATTACTTTTGCTAACCTGTCTTTTGTTATAGGAGTGTCGCCTGTGACCTTTATGATGGGTAAGGAAAGATTTCACATCTTTTCTACCCCTACATTATCATACTGTGAAATTTTATTATATGCTGTCTTGCCCTCATAGAAAGAGAATTTTGGAGTTTGAAAGAATCCTGCTAATCATGAAATCTGGTCCTTTATTTAACAGAAAAATTCCCAGAGACATGAAATGATTAGTACTGTTTCACAGAGAAGCAGAGGGAGAGCCAGACCCTCAGTCAGTCCAGGCTCTGCTGTCTTTGGAGGTGGGGTTTCAGGTCTCCCCAGCAGGGTTGTGAGGTCCCAGAGAACGGGAGGCAGGCCTTGGGCCATAGTCTCCTGCATCCCTCCAGAGCCTGCAGCAGGAGCTGGGCCCAAGGATGCTGCTGAGTGAGTCCACATGACTGACATACACTGCTCTGGAAGCACCATTCCGGCAGACTAGCCCTCTTCTTCCCATATAATCCAGGAAGGTTGTTATAGATAGTCCAGATTTTTCTAGATAATCTTGTAACATATTCACATTCAACATACATACAAAAATTCACACTTGGTATGGGTAGGAGAACTGTGCAGTCTTCAGTAGAATTTATTTATTAAAGCTTTCTGTAGGCTGTCATTTAAGGCCAGCAAAATGTTTTCGATCTCAGGGGTTAAATGGATTCAAAACAGAAATCAGTAAAGCTGTCATTGCAGATTTCTGTAATAGAGAGGCAAGTATAACAATTGATTAAGAACTCTATCCCTTTACATCTATAGAACATATAAGGCCCCTGGATACCCCTGGACCTCAACGCTCCACATTCCCCATTTCAGAAATCCAGGAGGACATGTGGCACCGTGAGGGGACCACAGAGACCCTGTCTCTCCTGTCTAGTCTATGCATCTTCACTCGCCCGGCCCCCACTTCACAGAACAGGCATTCTTGCTCCAAAATCCCTTGCTCATTCGCTGCCCCTATCCTGCTGCTTACCCAGATTTTAACCCGTGAGTCACCCCACACCCTCCTGACATCTGCTTTTCTCAGGACATGGAAAATACGGACTTGGGATTTGAGCATTTTCTATGCACAGGAAAACTGAAATTGAGATTCAGGAAAGCTACTTCCTGAATTTGATAATTTAGGTGTGGATTAAGATTGTAGGTGTTATCTTGAGAGGGCCCCAAGCAAGTTTCAGATGTACATTTTTTTTGAGAAAATGTGTGAGAGGCTATTTTGCTCTCAGTTCTCTGCTATTGTTAGGACCCCTAGTATTTACCTGCCCGCTTGCACTGTAACTCCAAAGGAAGCTTTCACCTAAAGCTTGGGAGAAATGATCTGCTAATAATCCATCACTGTGGTTTTTATCATGTTTCCCACCGTTTTCTCTTTTATGAGCAGTTCTTCTAATATTAGCATTTTCTTCTTCAAGCATCACTACCATAACAATATTATCAGACACTTTGGGAACATTTGTGGTGCATGTTTTTGTTGTTGTTGTTGTTTGTTTTTGTTTTTTGTTTTTTGAGACGGAGTCTGGCGTCTCCTCTGTTACCCAGGCTTGAGTGCAGTGGCGCGATCTCGACTCACTGCAAGCTCCGCCTCCTGGGTTCATGCCATTCTCCTGCCTCAGCCTCCCGAGTAGCTGGGACTACAGACGCCCGCCACCCCACCCGACTAATTGTTTGTATTTTTAGTAGAGACGGGGTTTCACTGTGTTAGCCAGGATGGTCTCGATCTCCTGACCTCGTAATCTGCCCGCCTCAGCCTCCCAAAGTGCTGGGATTAGTGAGCAACCGCACCTGGCCTTGTGGTGTGTTTTTATTCAACCCAGAAAGAATTTTGTTGCCAGCATTATTTGTATGTATTAATACTTTACTGAGAAACTGTGTCAGATATAGGTATATGCAAAGTTCCTAATGACAGTAGAAAACTAGAAATATGGGAAAAGTTTGAGCTTGAAATATGAAAATTAGAATGATGTACTTAATTAAATAAAAGAAATATTTGCAGATACGCTTGGACCAAGACTGATAATTAAAACACAGTACAATTTATTTCAAAATTAAAATGTTGATTATTTATTTTCTTAGGGGGCAGGTATACATGTTCTTAAATAGTCAGAAACTAAATACACTCTTCAAATGTTGAGAAATAAGTAGTAAAATTTTTTATAAAAAGAAATAGCATGCCCACCTAGATTACTATTAATGAACACTCTTTTAGTTTTTGAATGAAACATTATCTTAGCATGGAAGTTTAAGAAAACAAAGATTTTTTAAAGTCACTATACTATGACATGTCCACAAAAATGTTTAGTAGATAGTTCCTCAGAAGTAATTTTCATAGATGAATAAAATGATGACCGTGCATATTCTTTTCGGTGGTCTTTGTAGATGTGTTAATTCACATGCGGTAAAAGGGAAAAGTTAACAAATGCAAAGCATGAGAATCCCACATTTTAGTTTATACTGATTCTCATTAATTTATCCAGTGGTAATTCATTCTTCTTTTCCTTTTTTTTTTTTTTTTTTAGAAGGAGTCTCGCTTTGTCGCCCGGGCTGGAGTGCAGTGGCGCGATCTTGGCTCACTGCAAGCACCGCCTCCCAGGTTCACGCCATTCTCCTGCCTCAGTCTCCTGAGTAGCTGAGACTACAGGCGCCCACCATCATGCCCGGCTAATTTTTTGTATTTTTAATAGAGATGGGGTTTCACCGTGTTAGCCAGGATAGTCTCGATCTCCTGTCCTCGTGATTCACCCACCTCGGCCTCCCCAAGTTCTGGGATTACAGGCGTGAGCCACTGCGCCCAGCCGGTAATTCATTTTTCATAATTGTTGCTTAGAGATTCTAACCCCAGTTCCCATTACCCATCCTGTCTCACACACAATAAAGTGTCATGTCTGAGTCACTAAATGTCTGCTTTGGAGTGAGTTTGAATTGTCTTTAATGTCAGACTCACTTCAGAGGAGGTGTGGTTTTCTTGCTTTTTTGTTTTTTTTGTTTTTTCACCTCTGTAGGACATTTCCAAGTGGCTCCGGGTCAGTGAAAAGTTATTAAGAGCAGCTTCTACTTCTGTCCTAATTAAAAATTGTGCAAAACAAAAAAATACATCTTTTTGACACATTTTTTTCTGAAGTAACCTCATATTTTTTTCCTTCAAAAATTGAAATCAAAAGGTAAAATAAGTATACAATTTTAATTTCTGATACTGGCATAGTGTTTGTATCTGACTATCTTCATGGAGCAAAAGTCATGGAGATAAAAGATAAAAACTTCACAATTATTCAGTTATTTTGTTTATTGTTAAGTTTAAATCCTATTTGATTTAGCATTTTATTTTCTATAAATGTTTAAATAAACATTTTATAGAAAAGCCCAATCACTACCACCTCCTCAAATCACTGAGGTTGCCTCTAACCTGAGTGTAAATGGAAAGCAATTATATTATTTATCTGCTTTTACTTACTCATATTTAAGTGCTGGTATTTGTGCTTTAGGTCAAATAATATAAGATTTTCCCATAGAAATGATGGCAACTTAGTAATTAAAATTTTAAAGCATCTTACAGAGAAGTATTTTTAGACAATATATCACTTGTTCATACCATGACTTAATCTCTTGATGATAATTTTTTTTTGAGACGAAGTCTCTCTGTCGCCCAGGCTGGAGTGCAGTGGTGCAATCTCAGCTCACTGCAACCTCCACCTCCCGGATTCAAGCGATTCTCCTGTCTCAGCCTCCCGAGTAGCTGGGACTACAGACGCCTGCCACCACGCCTAGCTAATTTTTGTATTTTTTTAGTAGAGACAGGGTTTCACCATATTGGCCAGGCTGGTCTCGAACTCCTGACCTCGTGATCTGCCCACCTCAGTCTCCCAAAGTGCTGAGATTACAGGCATGAGCCACCGAGCCCGGCCTGATAATTTTATTTAACTTTTAACTTCAGTGTGACATGTACAGTTTTATCACATAGGGAAACTTGTGTCATGGGTGTTTGTTGTACAGACTATTTCATCAGCCAGGTATTAAGCCTAGTACCCATTAGTTATTTTTCCTGAATCTCTCCCTCCTCCCACTCTCCACCCTCTGAGAGGCCCCAGTGTGTGTTGCTCCCCTCTATGTGTCCATGTGTTATCATCATTTAGCTCCCACTTATAAGTGACAACAAGCGGTATTTGGTTTTCTGTTTCTGGGTTAGTTTGCTAAGGATAATGGCCTCCAACTCCATCGATGTTGCTGAAGAGGACATGATCCTCCTCTTTGTTCTGGCTGCATAGTATTCCATGGTGTATATGTACCACATTTTCTTTATTCAGCCTGTATGATAAATATTATTTTTTAAAAAATCTTGAGTTCTAAATTCTCCCACTCAGTCATAAAGACAAGTATGAATAAATTACTATTTGGTAGTATAATGAAGGTTATAAGGAACATTTTAAAGTAATTCTTCAGAACTGTTTTAGACTATGCTGTTAGGAAATTGTAGTCTCTCTCAAATTTAACAGGCATTTTACCAAGCATATTTTTATAATTTGGAGATGAAGATTTTTTCCAGGAGCAGTAACGTAGACTCTAATAACATGAGAGCAAGCATGAGAACAGTATGTAAAGCCAAAGTCACCATCTCTCCTCCTACCCCCTCTTGGTGATTATTCTTAATTTCAGAGTCAAAAATGACTGCCATCTTTGCAGTTGAGAAGCCTAAAAGACATTCCTGACTCTTCTGTCTTCCTCACATTCATGTCTACTTAATCAAGTCAATTTTATCTCTAGAATTTATCTGTATTAACCACCATCAACTCCCTGGGCACAGTGACACCATCATGTGGCCAGCTGATCTCGCCCAGCTACTCTTGATGCTGGTATTAGTCTGTTCTCACACTGCTATAAAGAACTACCTGAGACTGGGTAATTTATGAAGAAAAGAGGTTTAATTGACTCACAGTTCCACAGGCTGTACAGAAAGCATAGTTGGAGAGGACTCAGAAAATTTACAATCATGGCTGAAGGCCAAAGGGAAGCAACCACATCTTCACATCGCTGGCAGAAGGGAGAGAGAGAGCCAAGGGAGAGGTGCTGCCCACTTTCACACAACCAGATCTCGTGAGAACTCACTCACTATCATGAAAACAGCAAGGAGAGATCTGCCTCCATAGTCCAATAACCTCCCACCAGGTTCCTCCTCCAATATGGGGGACTACAATTCAATATGAGATTTGGGTGGGAACACAGAGCCAAACCATATCAGACCCCTTCCTGTCTATTATCCCCAGTGTATCCACAGTTCTCTTTGAGATGGAAGCCTGATCATGTCATCCACAGGTCAAAATGGTGTTAATGGCTTCCCATTATCTCGGTGGTGTCAAGGACTTCTGGTTATTCCAATGCCTAGGAGATAAAGTCCAAAGACTCAGCTAGGCCTCTAAAATCCTGTATGGTCTTTCTGTGTCCCCCCAAGTCACCATGCACAGGGCTCCCCACTCTGCTCACTGTGCCACACCAGCCTTCACTCAGGCCCCCAACACTCCTTGCTCTCCTGCCACAGCGATTTCACATAAGCCATTTCTACTTTCTGAATTGCTCTTCTCACTACAAAAACTCTCACATTAATTTTTTCATCCTGCAGGTCTCAGCTCAAATGTCATTCCTCAGAGAAGCAATCCTGACTCCCTAGAGTAAGTCATGTTCTGCTATTTTATGCTTCCAATGAATCATATGTCTTTTTAAAATCACTAATCGCAGCTTTAATTTTGCCAATATTTGTGTATTTGATTAAAGTAGCTCTCCCCAAATAGACTGTATGTTCCTTGAGGTCAAATTTATGTCTAATTTGCTCACCTCTTTACCCCCAGCTCCACACCCAGTCCAAAACATTTGTTGGGAGAATAAATAAATAATGGTTGAACACTTTTGTGAGTTGAGACCTTCTTGGTAAAGGGAACATAGGCGTGAGCTGAAGTCATTGCTCCCAAGGGGCTCTATTCCAATATAGGGAGACTATTTCAAACAAAAACATAAATGTGTTATAGGTCAATTGAGAAGAAAAGGCAGGTCCACAGGTAAGAGAGTAACCCATGGGTAGAAGAAATTCAGCTTTACCCTGACTGGTCATAGAAGGTGTTCCCGAGAAGCTATCTGAGAATTTTACCAGCCAGGTATTAGACATATCCTTTGTAATAAAAGCCATGGTGAGAGAATTTACACAATAGAAATCAGCAAATGCTACAAATCAGGGGTTTCATTCCTTTTGTTTTAGAGAGCCCATTTAGCTTCACACTACAAGCCTCATTCTTTAAAAATCAGTCCTTTATTTTCAGTTAAGATTTACATATGTTGGAAGTAAGATGCCAGCACATATCCAAATAGATATGTCCACTATAACTATTTTAGTAATGGTGACAAGAAAATGTATCTTGGTCAACTATGGTTACAGGTAGAACAATTTCTCCCCTTAATATTTATCTAAAAAAAACCTTTTATTAACAGGCTTGATGAGGTTAAAATTTATGTAAAATTAACTGCACACGTATAAAGTATACAATTTAACAAGCATAGGCACATACATACATCCATGAAACCAACACCACTCTCAAGGAGGGGAACTCATCCACCACACTCTCAAGTTTCCTTTGTCCTTTGGCAATGCTTGTTTTTGTAATCACTTTGTACCCACTCCTTCTTAGGCAACTGTTTATTTCTTTTCTGTCACCGTAGATTGGTTCGAATTTTCTAGAATTTCATAGAAATACAATTTTTACAGTATGTACTCTTTTTGTCTGCCTTTTTTCACTCACTGTATTTATTTATTTTATTTAATTAATTTATTTTTTTGAGATGGAGTCTCGCTCTGTCGCCCAGGCTGGAGTGCAGTGGCACGATCTTGGCTCACTGCAAGCTCTGCCTCCCAGGTTCATGCCATTCTCCTGCCTCAGCCTCCTGAGTAGCTGGACTACAGGTGCCTGCCACCACGCCCGACTAATTTTTTGTATTTTTAGTAAAGACGGGGTTTCACCATGTGTAAGCCAGGATGGTCTCAATCTCCTGACCTTGTGGTCTGCCCGCCTTGGCCTCCCAAAGTGATGGGATTACAGGCATGAGCCACCACACCTGGCCACCATATTTATTTTGAAATTAACTCATTTGCATTAATAATTCATTCCTTTTAAATATTGGATTACTATTCCATTGGACGGTTATACTACAAGCATTTATCTATTCAACAGTTGATGAACATCTAGGCTCATTTCTTACTATTAAAAATAAAGCTGCCATAAACATTTGTGTACAAATAGTTCTGTGGACATTTGTATTTATTAGGCTTTTTTATTCTGTAGTATTAATGCTTTGACATCTTGGTGCCTCACTGACTCACTGATAAACTTTTTCTTCAATAGGAATGTAACCAAGTGAGTAATTAAGACAAAATGTGAAAGCAGTTTAATATTTGTCTAGTCTTACACAAGAATTTTTCTGTCTCATTTTTCAACTATAAGAAAAAGTACTAAAGATTAATTTATTCAAAATTTGGAACTTTCTCCCTTATTTTTGCCAAAATATCACACTGAAGGATTTTGTTGTTGTTATAAATGTTGAGAGGTATGCATTTTTGTATTCCTATGAAATGTCATAGATATGAAATACTACATTCTAGGGAATATTTTAAAACAAAATATGACAGCTTTTCTAGCATTAACTATTAATGGCTATAAAAAAATTAGCATTATCTTTGTGCTTGGCTGCTCAGCTTTGTGTTGAGATAAACTACATGTTAGGTAGGAATGACAGCCAACTTACAATTAACATTTTTCATATATATTTGCTCAAGGGTATATTTTACCAAAAATTGTAATGCTTTTAATGTAGGTTTCAATTTTCTTCCAAAATGAACTAAAAGGATTTTTTTTCTGGTAATCAGAAAAAGAGAATGTGATAAGTTTCATTTATATTGAGTAATAAATTATAGTAGGCAGGTGTTTGCTTGCTATCTGTCCTTCACTGACACATTAGTCAATTGATTCATGCATAGTAAATTATCAGTTAATGTATTCTGGCCCACAACATACTCAAAATGCTTTAGACTGTGAAGATTCTTTCTATATAACCCTAAAAAGCCCTAGTTTAGGAGAAAAGGTACATGCCTTTGGCATGGCATTATATTCATAAAGAGATGTGATTTTTTAAAAAACTCCCTTTTTATGAAATTATTTTCTCTACTAAACTGTTATGAAAATGCTACCATTTTAACTAGAGAAAGAAAATCCAAATTTGAGAGAATGGACTATTTTTTATTCAGTTTACTTAAAATCTGCCCAAGATTTCTGAAACTTAGCTCAAATGACAAATTAAACCTAATACAAAAGGGCAGATTCAAGGGCATGAAGGATGAAGTACATGGGCCTTGAAGTCAGGAAAACCAAGCGTCTAACAGGCTTTTGCCAACAAATTGGGTAACATCAGAATGAGACATGTAGTGTAGTGGTGTGACCATGGTTCTCTGCAGCCTTGACCACCTGGACTCAAGCGATCCTTCTGCCTCAGCCTCTCGAGTAGTTGGAACTATAGGCATACACCACCATGCCTGGCTAACTTTTTAAAAAAATTTTTGTAGAGACAGGGTCTCGCTTTATTGCCCAGGTTGGTCTTGAACTCCTGGGCTCACACAATCCTTCCACCTCGTCCTCGCAAAGTGTTGGGATTACAGGCGTGAGCCACTGCACCTGGCCTGAGGTAGGTTTTTGTTTGTTTGTTTGTTTTGAGACGGAGTCTCGCTCTGTCGCCCAGGCTGGAGTGCAGTGGCGTGATCTCGGCTCACTGCAAGCTCCGCCTCCTGGGTTCACGCCATTCTCCTGCCTCAGCCTCCGGAGTAGCTGGGACTACAGGCTCCCGCCACCACGCCCGGCTAATTTTTTGTATTTTTGGTAGAGACAGGGTTTCACCGTGTTAACCAGGATAGTCTCGATCTCCTGACCTCGTGATCCGCCCGTCTCGGCCTCCCAAAGTGCTGGGATTACAGGCGTGAGCCACTGCGTCCAGCCTGGCCTGAGGTATATTTTTAAAAATAATTGATCACCATAATGTAGAGCCTAATTAACGTGCTGTCTGCTATAATCCATATGGATTGCAGGCATTTCTCTGCTAAAATGTGCTAAAGTGAGCCAGAGCAAGCAGCGGCTCCTGCCTGCTGGAGGATCAGTCCCTGCCCTCTGTCTCTATGCCAGGCCGGAGCTAGCTCCTGCTGCTCTCACAGCCAGGTGACAACCCCATTTGCTGGAACCAACATGCAAATAAGTCGTTTTATTCAATCTACCAACTCTGCCACAGAAAATAAAAAGTTTATACTGTGTTCTTTCAGAATATGATTTTCTAAATTAATTTAACAGGAAATAAATAACAGAAATAGTTTACCACAAGTAATACCCTATAGTGACATTTGTTGTTGTACAGTCTCTATTATCTCTTAGAACCAAAAATAACCAGATATTGTGACCTAAAATCTAATCTTTCAAGATGCTTCAATAAAAGAATTAGCAATGGTCAAGTAAATGTAGTAACTGCTGCATTTCTACATTATTTTTGGAGATTTTAAATGTTTACCAGGTTAAGGGTTCAAAGAAGACTTCTGTTTCAAATTAGCGTTTACCAGATGTAATTGACTGTGGACACGTTTTTACATAAAATTTATTAGCACACACATGGTAGAATTAGTTCAGAAGAAAAGCACATCTGTCAGTAAATGTTCAGTACAAGCAGGCCAAATATGAAATATCTCATTTTATATCCAAACCTCTAGAATCAGTTAAAATCTGGAACTTGCTCATTTAGTTGCTTTAATAACCTTTCTAAAGATCTACATTTTTTTTTAGAATTGCATCTATCACCTGGTGACTTTTGAAATCATTTTATACATTTTATATTTTAAAAATATGAGACCATTTATTGTTTTTACCTACAGACCATGACATTCAATGTTGCCTATGGCTGATCACCCACCCGCTCCATCCCCACCATTAACTGTCCTGGCCTCTTTGTCACTCTGTATTCTACATATTGGAGATCTATATCCATTATTTCAGTTTCCTGAACCCACTGAGTTCTTCCATCAATTGCCATTTCCTCTGCTTGGAATGTGTTAATTCCCTCTCTCTTTACAGGATGGGCTTCTATAAAGCCATCCATAAACCAGCATCATAAGACAGAATTTGAATTTTCAGTGTGACATCAGCAAGATGGTGAAATAGGCATTTTCAGCACTCATCTCACAGAAAAATCAATTTGAACAACCATCCATGAATGAAAATACCTTTGCAAGAGCTAAGGAATCCAGGTCAGAGATTACAGCACCTGGATAGAGTATAGAAATAAGAAAAGGCACATTGAATAAGGTAAGAAGGACAGTATTGCATTACCCATGTGACATCTACCCCAAGTTTGCACATCACAGTAGAGAGAGAGATACCTTTTGCATAGGGAAAGGAAAGTGAAGTGAGTGCCTGACTCTCACATGGATTTTGGCACCAGACTCCTACCAGTGAATCTTGGCACAAAGCCGGTCCCATTGTTCCAGGCTACAGACCCACCTTCATGGTCTCAGGCACCAGACCTGTTCCCATGGAATCAGGTACCAGTGTGCCCTAATACCAGTGTGCCTAATGCCAGACTGATCCCTGTGGTCTCAATATGTGGCTCATTTTCATAGACTTAGCTTCCAGGCTCACCCCAGCACCAGTTCAGCTTCCAGGTTCGCCCCAGCACCAGGTCAACCTTTGCATCCCCAAGCTGCAGGCCAATACCTGCACCAGGTTAGCCTCTGTGGCCCCAAGATCTAGACCAGCCCTTGTGGCCTCCAGGCCCCAGGCCAGCTCACATGACCTCAGGCAACAGGCCCATCCAGAGCCATGCTGGCACCCACACCTTCAAGCTCCAGGATGGCCCCTGCAGCTCTAGGCTCCAGCATAAGGTCAACCCCTATGGACCCAATTCCAGGCCTGTTTTCATGGTCTTAGGTACTAGGCTTTTCCCAATGGAATCAGATATGAGGCCTGTCTCAGTTGACCCTAGGGCCAGGCTGCTGCCATAGATTCTATACTGAACCCAGCCTCATAAACTCAGGTTCTGGGCCCACCCAGTACCAGAATAGCCCCTATGAACTCAGGCTCAAGGACCTTCCCAGTGCCAGATTGGCCTCATGGACTCAGGCTCCAGGCCTATCCCTGAAGACCAAGTCTACTCTCATGGGCTCTGGTACCAGGCCAGTCACCTCAGACCCAGGAGCCAGTCCACACCCACAGACCCAGGATCCAGACCTACCCATGTAGACCCATGCTCATAGTCCACTGAGTGGACTGGGGCTATAGGCCTGCCCCCACAGGCCAAGGCACCAGGCCAACCGTTGCGGACTCAAGAGCCAGGCCCACATGCCCACTGACCCAGGCACCAGGCCAGCCCCCTAAAATAATCCCACCCATGGACCATGCCAGTTGGCCTTACCAGAATCTCCGGACAAGCTGACTGGTAAAAGGATTTCCCACTGAAGTGTCTGTAAAGACTGTAAGAGGTGCCTACTTCTTCAAATATGAATACACCAAGGCAAAGCCACAAGGAACATAAATAATCCGGGAAACATGACATCACAAAAAGAATGTAATACCCATAACCAATCTAAAGAAATGGAGATCTATGAACTTCCTGAAGAAGAATTCAAACTAATTGGCTTGAAGAAGCTCAATGAACTACACAAGAAGACACAGCCAACCAAACAAAATCAGGAAAACAATGTGTGAATAAAATGAAAAGTTTGACAGAGAGAAAACATAAAAAATAACCAAACAGAAATTCTGAAACTGAAGAACATAATGACTGAACTGAAAAATTTCAGAGATCTTCAACAGCAAACTTGATAAAGCAGCAGAAAGAGGCAGTGACCTCAAACACTGCTTATTTGAAATTAACCAGTCAGAGGAACAAAAGAAAAAAAGAATGAAAAGAGTGAAGAAGACCGACAGGATTTATGGGCCACCATCAAGCAAACCTAATATGCATTAAGAAAGTCCTAGAAGGAACAGAGAAATAGAAAGAGGAAAAAGGCTTCTTTAAGAAAATAACAGAAAATTTCCCAAATCTGGAGAAGTATATGAAAATCCAGACCAATGAGTTCAAAGAATTTCAAATAGATTAAACATAAAGAGATCATCACCAAGACACTGTATAATCAAGTTGAAAACTTTTCCTTTAACATCAGGAACAAGACAAGGATGCCCACTCTTACCGCTTTTATTCAACATACAAGTGGGTGTCCTAGTCAACAAGAAAAAGAAATAAAAGGTATCCAGCTTGGAAAGAAAGAAGTTAAATTGTCTCTCTTTGCAGATGACATGATCTAATATATAAAAATCCCTAACACATACTTAGAAATAAATTTAATAAATAAATTTAAAAATTAAAAAAGTAAATTTAATCAATAAGGTAAAAGGTATGTACACTGAAAACTATAAAATATTGATGGAAGAAATAAGACACAAATAAATGAAACAATATCCTGTGATAATGGATTGAAAGAATTAATATTGTCAAAATGTTCATACTACTCACCATGATCTACAGATTCAATGAAATATTTATCTAACTTCCAACAGCATTTTTCACAGAAATACAAATAACAATGTTAAAACTTATATGGAGGCCGGGCGCAGTGGCTCACGCCTGTAATCTCAGCACTTTGGGAGGCCGAGGCAGGCGGGTCACCTAAGGTCGGGAGTTCGAGACCAGCCTGCCCAACATGAAGAAACCCTGTCTCTACTAAAAAAAAATACAAAATCAGCCAGGCATAGTGGCGCATGCCTGTGATCCCAGCTACTCAGGAGGCTGAGGCAGGAGATTTGCTTGAACCCAGGAGGCTGAGGTTGCAGTGAGCAGAGGTTGCACCATTGCACTCCAGCCTGGGCAACAAGAGCGAAACTCCACCTCAAAAAAAAAAAAAAAAAAAACTTATACGGAACCACAAAAGATCCCAAATAACCAAAGCAATTTTAAGCAAGAAGAACAAAACTGAATGAATTATATTACCTAATTTGATAATATATTACAGAGTTATAGCCATCAAACACGATGGTATTGGCATGCATCAAAGGTATAGACCATTTAACAGAACAGAGAGCTCAGAAATAAATCCATACAATTACAGTAAATTGATCTTTAACAAAGGTGCTAAGAACCCAGAATGGAAAACATAGTCTCTTTAGCAAAAGGTGTAGGAAAAACTGGATATCTACATGCAGAAGAATGAAATTGGACCCTTGTCTCACACCACACGCAAAAATCAACTCAAAATGGATTAAAAATTTAACACCTAACAATGTAAAAATACTGGGGGAAAACCTTCGTAACATTATTCTGTGGAATAAATTTTTGGATACGACTCCAAAAGCACAGGCAACAAAAGCAAAAATAGACAAATGGGATTACATCAAACCAAAAAACTTCTTCATAGCAAAGGCGATAATCAACAAAGTGAAGAAACAACTTATAGAATGGGAGAAAATATTTGCGAGCCATATATTTGGTAAGGGGTCAGTATCCAACATACATACTAAAATCATACAACTCAATTTCAAGAAAACAAATAACCCAGTTTTAAAAATGGGCAAGGGACTTAAGTAGACATTTCTCCAAAGAATATATCTATTTGGCCAACAAATGTATGAAAAAATTTTATAATATATTTGTATTATATCAATATCAATATATTGATATATCAAAATCACTAGTCATCAGAAAAAAATGTAAGTCAAACCACAGCGAGGTGTAATTTCATACATCTAGAATGGCTATCATAAAAAAGATTAAAGATAAGTGTTGATGAAGGTGTGGAGAAATGGGAACCCTTGTACACTGTTGGTGAGAATGTTACTTAGTACCCCTATTATGGAAAACAGTGTAGGTTTCTGTGATGACTGGTTCTTCCAAAACAGCTTTCGCAAAAAATTAAAAATACTTTGGGAGGCCGAGGCGGGCGAATCACGAGGTCAGGAGATCGAGACCATCCCGGCTAAAACGGTGAAACCCCGTCTCTACTAAAAATACAAAAAATTAGCCGGGTATAGTGGCGGGCGCCTGTAGTCCCAGCTACTTGGGAGGCTGAGGCAGGAGAATGGCATGAACCCAGGAGGCGGAGCTTGCAGTGAGCCGAGATCCCGCCACTGCACTCCAGCCTGGGCAACAGAGCGAGACTCTGCCTCAAAAAAAAAAAAAAAAAAAAAAAAATTAAAAATAAACTACCATATCATTAAGCAATACCACTAGTGGTTATATATCCAATGGAAATGAAATCACTATCTCAAAGAGATAACTGCACTCCCATATTCAATACAACATTATTCATAATAGTTAAAATATGGAAACAACCTGAGTGTCTGTCAACAAGTCACTGGATAAATAAAATGTAGTATTTGTGTACCATGGAATATGATTCAGTCTTGGAAAAGAAGGAAATCCTCTCATTTGTGACAATGGATGAAGCTGGAGGACATTATAGTGAGTGAATTAAACCAGGCACAGAAACACAAATACTGAATGATCTTACTTATAGATGCAATCTAAAAAGGAAAAAAAAAAAAGTGAAACCTACAGATGTAGACAGTAGGATGATAGTTACCAGGGGACAGAAGATGGGAAAAATGGGGAGATGTTGGCTAAAGGGTACAAAGTTTCTGTTATACAGGATAAATAATTTCTGGAGATTTTATTTACAGCATGGTGACTATAGTTAATACTGTATTATATACTTGGAATCTGCTGAAAGCAGTTCTCAGATGTTCTCACCACACACACACACACACACGCACACCACACACACAAATGGTGACTATTTGAGGTGATGCATATGTTCATTAGCTTGGTAGTGGTATCATTTCACAATGTATATGTGTATCAAAACATCAGATTGTATACCTTTTTTGATGTTTGTTTTGTTTTGAAACAGAGTCTCACTTTTGTTGCCCAGGCTGGAGTGCAGTGGTGAGATCTTGGCTCACTGCAACCTCCCCCTCCTGGGTTCAAGCAATTCTGCCTCAGCCTCCTGAGTAGCTGGGATTACAGACACCCACCACCACGACCAGCTAATTTTTGTATTTTTAGTAGAGACGCGGTTTCACCATGCTGGCCAGGGTGGTCTCGAACTCCTGACCTGGGGTGATTCGCCAGCTTTGGCCCCCCAAAGTGCTGGGATTACAGGCGTGAGCCACCGCGCCAGGCCTGTATACCTTAAATATACACAATTCTGTTTACATGCCCCTGGCTCTGCTTTCTTGGACACAAGCTGCCTGACTCTAGGAAGATGCCAACACCCTGTCCATAGTCTCACTACAACCATTTCCTTACAGCACTGAAAATCATTTACACTTGCTTGTTTACCAAGTTGTTTCCTTGTTATTGTCTCTCCTTCACTGGATAAATAACTTTTTTTTTTTTGAGATGGAGTGTCGCTCTTGCCACCCAGGGTGGAGTGCAATGGCACAATCTTGGCTCACTGCAACCTCTGCCTCCTGGGTTCAAGAGGTTCTCATGTCTCAGCCTCCCAAATAGCTGGGATTACAGGCGCCTGCTACCACATCCGGCCAATTTTTTGTATTTTTAGTAGAGACAGGGTTTCATCACGTTGGCCAGGCTGGTCTTGAACTCCTGACCTGAAGTGATCTGCCCACCTTGGCCTCCCAAAGTGCTAGGGACTGTAGGTGTGAGCCACCGTGCCTGGCCAGATAGCAGATATAATAGCCCCATGTCTGTTTCTTCACTGCTCCATCAAAGTACCCAGCATAGTGTCTGGCACACAGTTGGACACTGGGTGAAGATTTATTGAATGGGGAGTGAATTCTGTAGGGGAATTAGGAATTGAACCAGGAGTGCCTTTTGGAGATACTTAACCTCCAGTGTCTGAGGCTAAGAATGATCTGAGAAAACTGAAGCATGGACTAAAAAGCAGTGCTGAATGAAGCTAAGAAAAAACATAATGTGGTTGTCAATCTCCTGAATCTTCTGTTTATCAGGCCAAGCATCCTGTGGGTAGAAGTTCAGCCTTTCAGAACCCAAAAGTCACTCACTGGACTCAGGCATGACTAAAGATTCCATCATATGAAAAGCAAGGGAAGATAACCCAACTCTTCTGTAGACTCAGTCCCTTCATCCACAGCATGAAGCGATTGAATGAGGAGACCTATGATGTCATCTGGCCTCGACAGGCTATGATGAAATAACTTTAAATTGGGAAATTCTCTGATTTGAAAAGGGGATTTTCTGCTCTGACATAAGCCTGCCAGACACTTTTGTTTAAGTTGGGACACTTTCCTCATGCCAAATGCCTGCCATGTAGGTATTACACCATTGTAATAGACAGAGCTGCATGCAGACATCCTAGAGAAACAGGTCATGCTGAAGCTGGCCTACCTCAAGAGGCTCTACTGTGACTGTCACAGTAGATATGGGCATGGGACCTGGACAGGGAAAAAGAGCAGCTGAATAATGTTAACAGTGGTGGTAACTAGGGTAGGATGCAATAGTCCACACTAGTTATTTGTATAAATTTTATATTACAATTTTAAATCAATACCTTTCCTCTTCTGCACCTACAACTTGACAATGACTGATTTTTTAATGTTTCTAGAATTTGGCCTTTTCCAGAATCCCTTATCATTAAAATCATACAGTATATCATCTTTTCAGACTGGCTTCTTTCACTGAGCAATGTGCATTTAAGGTTTTGCCATGTATTTTCATGGCTTGATAATTAACTTTTTTATTGCTGACTAATATTTCAGTGTGTACATACCAAGTTTGTTTACCCTTACACAATTTGAATGATGATTGGTTCCTTCCAATTTTTGGCAATTATGAATCAAGCTGCAATAAGCATTTATATGCAGCTTTTGTGTGGACATGTATTTTCAACCCATTTAGGTAAATACCTAGGAGTGAAATCGTTGAATCATTTGGCAAGACTCAAACTGTGTTCCAAAGTGGTTGCATCATTTTGCATTCCCACCAGGAATGAATGACAGTTTCTGGTGCTCCATATCCTTGTCAGAAATTGGTATTGTCAGGTTTTTTTTTATTATACCCATTCTAATAGGTGTATAGCTTCTCGATACTGTTTCAATTTGTAATTAACTAATGACATATGATGTTGAGCAACTTGTAAATGTTTATTTGCCACGTGTATAACATCTTTGGTGAGATATCTATTCAGATCTTCTGTTTCCTTTTTTTAATTTTAAGAGTTTTTGTATATTTTGGACATCAATTATTTATCATTTATGTGTTTTGCAAAAATGTTTCCTAATTTTTTGCCTCTCCATTCTCTGAATAGTCTCAGAAATTTTTAATTTTAATGAAATTCACCTTTTTAAAAAATTTTATGGATCGAGGATTCAGTGTTGGATGTAAAAAGTCGCTGCCAAATAAAAAGTCACCTATGCTATAATCTCAGCTACTCCACAGGGTAAGGCAGGAGGATTACATAAGCCCAGGAGCTCAAAGCTGCAGTGAGCCATGATAGCACCAACCACACTCCAGCCTGGGCGACAGAGCGAGATCTCAACTCAAAAAAAAAAAAAAAATCATGTAGCTCTTCCCCTGTGTTATCTCAGTTATCTTATAGGAATTTTATAGTTTTGTGTTTTAATTTTGGTCTGTGACACATTTAAATTAATTTTTGTAAAATGTATAAAGTCTGTGTTTAGATTCGATTTTTTTTTGGTATGTGAATGTCCAGCTGCTCCAGCATAAATTCTTGAAAAGATTTTTTGTACATTGTCTTTCCCCTGCTACTTTGTCAAAGATCTGTTGACTATGGTTGTGTGCACCTACTTATGAACTCATTATTCTGTTCTCTTGACCTATTTTTCTATACTTTCACCAACACCACTCTGTCTAGATTACTAGCTTTATAGCAAGTCTTGAAGTTGGGTGGTATATGTTCTCTGATGGTGCTATTTTCCTTCAACATTGTGTTGACTATTGTAGGTCTTTTGCCTTCTCATATACATTTTAGGCTCAGTCTCACAATATTCACAAAATAACTTGTGAGGATTTCAGTCGAGGGATTTATAGATCAAATTGGGAATTAATAATATTGAGTTTTTCTATACATGAACATGGAATGTTTCTCAATTTGTTGAATCTTCTTTGACTTTTTTGATGAGTTTCATAGTTTTCCTCTTATAGATCTTGCTCACATTCTGTTAGTATTTCTTTTTCTTCAATGCTAATATAATCGGTATTGTTTTTAATTTCAAATTCCAATTGATCATTACTAGCATAAAGAAAAGCAGTTGACTTTCATATATTATACATGTATCTTGAATTATTGCTATAATCATTTAGTTCCAGAATTTTTTTTCTATTGTTGATTCTTTGAGATTTTCTGCATAGACAATCATATCATCTGTGAACCAACAGAATTTTATATTGTCCTTCTTAATCTGTATACCTTTTCTTTTCTTGTCTTGTCTGTTTGCATTAGCTTGGTCTGCTGGTATGACTTGAATAGAAGTACTGACAGAAGACACCCTTGCCTTCTTCCTGATCTTAGCATCTTTACAGGAAAGCATTTATTCTCACCATTAATTATGATATCAGTTGTAGGGTTTTTTTTTTTACAGATGTTCTTTTTGAGGTTGAGGATATTCCTCTCCATCTTAGTTTGCTGAGAATTTTTAAATCATGAATGGATGTTGGATTTTGTCAAATTCTCTCGCTGCCTCCATTGATATAATCACTATGAACATATGGTTCATTTTCTTCAGGCTGTTGATATGATGGGTTGCATTAAATGATTTTCAAATGTTGAGTCAAACTTGTAAAGCAGTATATTTCCCTGACCCCTTCATGGGTAGGAACTGGAGTGCATGAGTGCCTGCAGGGGCGAACTCCATTCATTTGCTGCTCCACCCCTCGCCGGAGGGGGAGCGCAGGTGTAGGTGTAGGAGCTGGGGCAAGTGCTTTTGGGCACCAGCAAGAGTAAACTCTGTACTGACCCTGTGACAGCATCTAGGGGAGGGTGCCCACGACCCCTGAACCCCCAGAGAAAGTGTTACAGTGCCCTTTTAGCTTTGCCATTCATGGAGAGCTAAAGTGTTAACACCTCAGTGGAGGGTCAGTGTGACACCCTTTTGCACCCACACTCAGGGCACCTGAGTTCTTGTCTGACATCCAGGAGGAATGAGGTTGCACAAAGAAATTGAAGATGGTAAATGTGGGGGATTTTATTGCCGTTGAAAGTGGCTCTCAACAGGAAGGGGAGCTGAAAAGGGGTCAGAGCAGGAAGGTAATCTTCCCCTGGAGTCTGGCTGTCCGCAGCTGACTCTTCTCCAAAGCTACGCCATCAAGCTGCTTCTAATGTCCCTCTGAAGTCAAGCTGCTTCTCTCCGATGTCTAGCCGTAGTCTCCAATGCCCAGCTGCATCTCCTCTTTCTGCCGGCTGAGCTCTGGGGTTTTTATAGGCACAGGATTGGAGGTGGAGCCATGGGTGGTTTAGGAAAAGGCAACATTCGAGGGGGAAAACAGGGATGTAAGTTCTCACTTTGGGCCGTGGTCCAGAGGCTTTTTGGCTTGAGGGTGGGGACCTCATGGGGGACCCACCCTCTTCTGCCCAGAATTTCCCTGCATCCTGTCCCTATCACTTGTATACTCAGAATAAATCTCCCTTAGTCATGGTGTATAATTCTTTTCACACAGTGTTGGATTCAGTTTGCTATTTTTTTTCCAGCTTTATTGAAGTGTAACAGACAAATACGAATTTACATATACTCAAGGTACATAGTGATTTGGTATATGTACACATTGTAAAATAATTACCATAGTCAACATAATTAACATAACCATCATTTCATATAGTTACCATTGTGTGTGTGTGTGCTGTTTCCTAAATTTTTGTGTGTGTTTTTTAGTTTTTAGACTTCTTAAAATCTTATTTTTAATGTATAAATAACAGTTGCATATATGTGTGGGATACAATGTGATGTTCTGATATATGTTTACATTGTGAAATGAATAAGTCATGTTTAATTAACAAATTCATCAAGGCAATAGAATATTGCAGGAGAGGAGACAGACTGAGCTTAACCCTGAATACAGCATGGGCAGGTGGGAATTTGTAGCTATGGAGCAGTGTGGGAGTCAGTGGATAAAAAGTTACTAAGAGGAAGGAAATATTAGGGGTGAGGGGGATTCTGGTTAAATCTGCCGAAGCCAGATGGGGGTGATCAGACCTCACCTGGGGGACAGTGGAAGATGCAGACCCTGATTTCATATGGAGGATGATCAGATATCCAGCATGGGGGTGCTTGCTAAATTGACTAAGTGGGGATTTTTGCTACAACTGGATTTTACAAGGACATACATAGATGGGCCTAGGAGAAGGTTCGGGATGCTGACTGACTAAGGTTTCACCAAGCAATCTTTGTCAATACCAACGAACAAACCCCAAACCCAAGAGGCTTAAAACTTAAAGTTTATTTACCGTTTTGATTATTACACATTCTGCAATCATCAGCATAGAATATTAAGTTAGGGATCGCTAAGGGCCTTATGAGTTGTTTCTAAATTGTGACCATCACGTCCCTCCAAATCTCTAATAAATCTGATAAATTCATGAATCAAAGCTATTATTTGCTGAGAAAAAAATGGTACAGTAAAATGTACAAGTTTGATAGAAAAAGCAGATTTTGATTTAAATTAGAAAAGAAACTTTTAAAAAATTAAATATGCTTTCAGTTTTACCCAAGGAAACCACACAGGTTACTGCTGCATGCAGAGTGCCAGGCACATGATCCAAAGCTACTGAGACAGCAACCACGTTGTTTCATTTATTTTAAAATATGTATAATCTGAAAGAGGGGTAGATGCTTCCAGAAAAAGAAAGGCTTGGCTTGTTCCAGTGAAAATAATAGAGATTTTATTAAAATAAATATTTTACCTGAATGACTTGGACAATTTGCAAAATTTTTGTTCGAGGGTGATTAAGTGGGTTGCTTTTCTGACCAACTTTCTTTATTTAATGCCGACTGTAAGATCAATTATTTGCTATTCATGAACGACCAAAAATAAAACACTCTTATTGCAAACATTGGAATGTAAAATGCTTCCTCTTGGTTGGATAATGGAGGATGGGGAGGCTTTCATTTTGCTACTTAAATGAAGCTTCATTCATTTATCTTTATTTTCAGCCTTCATGACTCAATTATAATTACAATCATGTATAATTTTGAATATTCATACAATGAATTTTTTTTTTTTTGAGGCAGAGTATCGCTCTGCCACCAGGCTGGGGTGCAGTGGTGCGATCTCGGCTCACCGAAACCTCCACCGCCTGGGTTCAAGATATTCTCCTGCCTCAGCCTCCTGAGTATGACTACAGGCGCATGCCACCATGCCCAGCTAATTTTTGTATTTTTAGTAGAGACGGGTTTCACCATGTTGGCCAGGATGGTCTCCATCTCTTGACCTCGTGATCTGCCCACCTTGGCCTCTCAAGGTGCTGCGATTAGAGGCGTGAGCCACCGCGCCTGGCCCTACAATACAAATTTTTAATTGCTGACTTTATTGGCTGTTGCCAGAACATGACTGAATAGATGTGTCAGAGTTTCTCACCCTCAGCACTAGTGACATTTTAGGCTGGATAATTCTGTGTTGTGGGGGCCTGTCCTGTGCATTATAGGATGTTTAACAGCATCTCTGGTCTCTCTCCATGAGATGCCAGCAGCACCCACCCAGCCCCACTTATAATAACTGAAGATGCCTCCAGATATTGCAAAATGTCCTCTGAGGGGCAAAATCATACCCTGATTGAGAACCATGGGCCCGATGTTATCATTGAGAAACTAACAAAGCCTTAATCAGCTTATTAAAAATACATATTTATTAGCTAATATTGAGAAAGAGTGTTCCTCCACTACATATTCTGTTTAGTAACAATACATATTCTAATCCTCTTTATAAAATATTTACCAAGGGTGCTGTATGAAAGAACATTAGACATTTAAAAACGAAAATGGAATGCTCATTTGACCTAGTCTGTGCCCCGTGAGCCTAAGGTAAAATGGGGTTTCTTTCTTTTTTTTTCTTTTTTTTTTTTTTTGAGATGGAGTCTCGCTCTGTCGCCCAGGCTGGAGTGCAGTGGCGTGATCTCGGCTCACTGCCTCCCGCCTCCCGGGTTCACGCCATTCTCTTGCCTCAGCCTCCCGAGTAGCTGGGACTACAAGCGCCTGCCAGGACGCCCGGCTAATTTTCTGTATTTTAGTAGAGACGGGGTTTCACCGTGTTAGCCAGGATGGTCTCGATCTCCTGACCTCGTGATCCGCCCACCTCCGCCTCCCAAAGTGCTGGGATTACAGACGTGAGTCACCGCGGTCGGCGTAAAATGGGGTTTCTAACCATGCAAGTGACTGAAGCAAAGCAGAGGCGGGGGAGTGCGCTCAGAGTGGGGGCAGGGATGCTCTTGCCACAGACGGGAGTGAGGAGAGGAGTCCTCTTTCTACAGGTTCCCCTCTCACCCTCCTGTCTCTACATCCTCCACTCACACTAACTGATCCAATCACATCACTCTTTTTTTTTTTTTTTTTTTTTTTGAGACAAAGTCTCACACTGTCGCCCAGGCTGGAGTGCAGTGACGCAATCTCGACTCACTGCAAGCTCCGCCTCCCAGGTTCACGCCATTCTCCTGCCTCAGCCTCCCCAGTAGCTGGGACTACAGGCACCCGCCACCACGCTCAGCTAACTTTTTTTATATTTTTAGTAGAGACAGGGTTTCACCGTGTTAGCCAGGATGGTCTCGATCTCCTGACCTTGTGATCCGCCCTCCTCAGCCTCCCAAAGTGCTGGGATTACAGGCGTGAGCCACCGTGCCCAGCCCGTCTCCCCAGAATTCACCTGTGCCTTACTTTAAAAAAATGTTTCCCCTAAATGCATTGCAAATAAAACTAGAGCAGGAATTTTTAATCTATCTTACTCACTTTTATAAAACTTCTTGCTAGAATATTGTGTGCCTGGGCGCATACAAGACACTGGATATGTGTTAAAAGAATGAATGAATGAATGAATGAATGAATGAATGACTCAAATATTATCTCAAACTTCACTGGGTACTTTGAGTTTTTACAATAAAGTTCTCATTCACTCTTCCCAGTCACGGTAGGCAGTTCCTCTCCTCAGTGGATGGCTGCCATTAACTAGAAAATGGGCAGGTGCTATCAATCAATCTGGGTACAATTTAATTTAGGTTAACCGGGATTACCTACTACATGATTTTTGAAGGTTCATTGCAAATAATGCAGTTATCCAAGGCAAAACACTAAATATTTCTAGGCCCATTTGATTCCTTAAATATTTTTGCCTCTCGGTAACTAATGTTCATTTCTGGGATTGGATTTAAATACTGGTCTGAATTCAAGTTTCTTATTTTAATTAAAATCACTTATTTTTTAAATATGCTTTATGGGCCTGGCACGGTGGCTCCCGCCTGTAATCCCAGCACTTTGGGAGGCCGAGGCAGGCGGATCACGAGGTCAGGAGATCGAGACCATCTTGGCTAACATGGTGAAACCCCGTCTCTACTAAAAATAGAAAAATTAGCTGGGTGTGATGGCGGGCACCTGTAATCCCAGCTACTCTGGAGGCTGAGGCAGGAGAATGGCGTGAACCCGGGAAGCAGAGCGCACAGTGAGCCGAGATCGCGCCACTGCACTCCAGCCTGGACCACAGAGTGAGACTCTGTCTCAAAAAAAAAACTATATATATATATATATATATATATATATATATATATATATATATATACTTTATGAAATTTGACATGTAGGAGATAAAAATCTATGCAAATTTCATTAAATATCAATTTGTAAGAAAAATTTACTATACATTTCTGGTATAAATTTATATTTCTCCCAAATCTCATGCTTTTGGCTTGAAAATATTTTATTTTCCTTACCAGTACAAAGATTAGTACTCTCATTGAAGAAATAGTGAGTGAGTATATTAGTTCATTCTCTCATTGCTATCAAGAAATACCTGAGACTGGGTAATTTATTTTATAAATTTATTTATTTATTTATTTATTTATTTATTTAAGACTTGCTCTGTTGCCCAGGCTGGAGTGCAGTGGCATGATCTTGGCTCACTACAACCTCTGCCTCCCAGGTTCAAGCAATTCTTCTGCCTCAGCCTCCTGAGTAGCTGGGATTACAGGTGTGCACCTTCATGCCAGGATAATTCTTGTATTTTTAGTAGAGGTGGGGTTTCACCATGTTGGCCAGGCTGGTCTTGGACTCCTGACCTCAAGTGAGGAATGCCACTGCCTCCCAAAATGTTGGAATTACAGGTGTGAGCCAGTGCACCCCGCTGAGACTGGGTAATTTGTAAAGAAAAGAGGTGTGATTGGCTCATGGTTCCACAGACTGCACAGGAAGCATGATGCTGGCATCTGCTCAGTTTCTGCAGAGGCTTCAGGAAATTTACAATCATGGCAGAAGGCAAAGCAGTAGCCAGATGTCTCTCATGGCAGGAGCAGGACCAATGTGGAGGGAGGTGCCACACACTTTTCAACAATCAGATCTCCTTAGAACTCACTATCACTAGAAGATTACCAAGGGGATGGTTCTAAACCATTCATGAGAAACCGCCCCTATGATCCAGTGACCTCCCACCAGGCCCCACCTCCAGTACTGGGGATTACAATTTGACATGAGATTTGGGCAGAGGCACAGATTCAAACCATATCAGTGAGCGTTGGTATAAACTAAAATGCCTTCTTCAAATTCAGATCTAATTCCTTAAAACTCTAAGCATCTCAAAACATTTTGCTTTTCAGCCCAAGGATTCAAGGCAGTTTATAACCATAATTGCTAAAAAGCAAAAATAAAAACAAAATGAAAGGCCTACCATGTCTCAAACACCTCTACCTTGTTTACAGTCATGTGGAAGATGACAGTGGAGAAAACTTAGGAGTCCATAAGAATTTCAAAATAAAATTACTAAAAAAATGATTATGGTTAAGCAATTATTTTTCAAAATATTTTACTTTGCTATGTTAATCTGTCCAAATTATAGTTATCAATTTAAGTATCATTCTCTTTTTAGAAAATCTAAATCAACACAGAGGAAGAATTTGGTGGATAGGATTATAATCCCCCAGGATTTTGGACAGGCCGTGGAGATAACCCACCAGGTCTGAGTAATACGTGTATTTACTGATAGATGCCTCCATCTATACTTGTGTGCATTTGCATGTGCACATGAGGTGTTTTTTTTTTTTTTTTTTTTTTTTTTTTTAGAGTCTGGCTCTGTCGCCAGGCTGTAGTGCAGTGGTGCAATCTCAGCTCACTGCAACCTCCACCTCCCAGGTTCAAATGATTCTCCTGCCTCAGCCTTCCGAGTAGCTGGGACTATAGGCATGCACCACCACGCCCAGCTAATTTTTGTATTTTTAGTAGAGACACGGTTTCACCATGTTGACGAGGATGGTCTCGATCTCTTGACCTCATGATCCGCCCACCTCGGCTTCCCAAAGTGCTGGGATTACAGGCATGAGTCACTGCGCCCGGCCACACATGTGAGTTTTTTATGTGCGTGCGTGTGTACGCATGTTAGGAGTTAAATTTTATTTTTGTTTTGAGCTTCAATATATTGTCATCTAAACTCCAGTAATTTCTACTTTTCTAAGTATTTTTTGAGAACTAAAATGAAAATAGTTTCTTTGTTTTTAAATGGAAATCTTTCACTGGTTTGTTTGTTTGTTTAGTTTGTTTAGTTTCTTTTAGGTTTAGGCTAATGTCTGTCATGTCCTATGGCCTATGAACATTTGCCACTATCCTAATGATCTATTCCACGGGTAAACAAACATTTCTGACCTTAACAATTGTCAATCCAAAAATATGGAAATAATGTATTGTTCTTGTGTTCAATAATGCTACAAACCTGCATAGTTTCCTGTCATAACGTTCAACAGTTTTTGAGGCCAACATACTCTATCCCTCTCTGTGCTAAACAGTCTTGAGATTAAGCACACTGTCCTATTTTTGATGAACAACACCGAGAACAAGTGAAAAAAAAACTGCTTGTTGCAGGGAATAACTGCTCCTGGAAAAAAAAAAAGGCTGAACCAATTCAACAACTTACTTATTGGACTAAGAGCTGATTTATTAAGGTTTGCTTTAAGACTTAGCTAGCTCCTGCAGTACACAGCTGTTATATCAGAAACTCTGATTAGTCCCAACTTGTTCTGCTCCTTGTAAGACCCTGGGTGAATTTTTTTTTTTTTTTGAGACAGTGTCACTGTGTCACCCAGGCTGGAGTGCAGTGGTGTGATCTTGGCTCATTGCAAGCTCCGCCTCCTGGGTTCACACCATTCTCCTGCCTCAGCCTCCCGAGTAGCTGAGACTACAGGCACCCGCCACCACACCCGGCTAATTTTTTGTATTTTTAGTAGAGATGAGGTTTCACGGTGTTAGCCAGGATGGTCTTCATCTCCTGACCTTGTGATCCACCCGCCTCGGCCTCCCAAAGTGCTGGGATTACAGGCATGAGCCATTGCACCCAGCCTAGACCCTGGGTGATTTTAACATCCAGCTGAGTCTCTGAAACCCTATGAACACTCTGCCCAATTTTCTATTTTGAGACATGCTATTATACTAAGACTTTGAGCAGAGTATATTCTTATTCTCATTTACAGTAAGAGAGCCAGGCATGGAATTAGCCAGGCGTGGTGGTGCACACCTGTAATCCCAGCTACTTGGAAGGCTGAGGCAGGAGAATCACTTGAACCTGGGAGGTGGAACTTGCAGTGAGCCGAGATCGCGCCACTGCGCTCCAGCTTGGGTGACAGAGCAAGACTCTGCCTCAGATAAATAAATAAATAATAAATTACCCAGACTTGGGTGTGTCTGGATAGCAATGTGAGAATGGACTAATATACTCACTGTTTCTTCAATGAGAGTACTAGTAAGTCTAGTAAATGTAGTTTGCCTGACTAACAAGCTCTAGTATTTTTTTAGGGAGTTAAATGTCAGTTCTAAGGAGGTCAAAGGATATATAAGAAATAACAAGTTTTAAAGTCAGAAGTGCATTTAAATTTGGGCTTAGAATTTATCTTGCATTTATCCTATTTCAGGAAATATTACCACATATGAAGTGTGGATATTTATGTGTACTTAGCAGTGGGCTTGAGAATATCACACACAATATTATACGTAGGCTACCATAGAATCTGCAATTATTATAATACCCGAATGCCTCCTACAGCCCTTCTACCTCTTGAAGACCTTTAAGAATTTGCTTTTTCCACTGAAAATTAGAAAGAACAACATAGCTGAAGGCAGTCCTTGTTCTATTGGGTCATTTGTTGGGATTGTGCTTATCCTGCAACTTTGGGGAAGGGAGGCATTTCAACATGAAATGAGGCTGCCTGTAAGTCAGAAAAAGAGTGAAGGAAAATTGAATTTAGCTCTTGCCAGCATTGCTTGAGGTATTTGGGTGATATAAATTTTTTTTTAAAGGCCACAATGCTTTTAGAATTTTCTTTGCTTGTGATTAGTCATTGTTGGCCTCTTTATGCTTCTCCCAGAATCATTACAATGCCATGCTTCCCCACTCTTTTCTAAGGACTCTAAAGCCTGGATTTATTTTTTCTGACCCAAGAGGCACAACCAAATGATGTTTAAGCATCCGCAACCCAGCCAATGTGTGAGGCCATTTCCTCCAAAATACATTCTCCTTTCTTACCTGCCCTCTCTGATTCCTTGTCCAGCCTGGCCTCTTATATGGACCCTGATCTTTTATCCTCAATATCCTTTCTTATCCCACGCCCACTGTCTACTTTAGTTTCAATTTCAGCCACTGGTTAGTTTCTTGGTAAACAAAGTGAATAAACGCCCTTGAAGTCCTGCCATACTGACTCCTTTGGAAACCCAACTCACCATTAAATTGCAGTGTCTTAAATTGTACTCTTTGCATACTGATTTATCCTCTGGTACTCAGCTAATTCACGGCTCTCTGAGTCTTGTGTACCTCATTTTCACATGCTCAGGTCAGGGTAGAGATGGCTTTTGTGAGGCCTTGAGTGGGAGGTGTGAGAGTTTGTCCTCTAAACATGCATTTTGACTCTTTTCGTGTTCGTTTTTGCCATCGAGGAGATCAACAGGGGCCCGCTGCTCTTACTCAACATGTCTTTGGGGTATCACGTCTACAATGCCTGCAACACTGATCAGAGGACTTTGGAGGGCCCTCTGTTTTGGCTGTCAGGAGGGGCCGAGAACCTTCCCAATTATACATGTGAGAGGCAGAGCAAATCCATAGCAGCGATTGAAGGAACTATATCAGCATTTGTTTCTCAGTTGGAGATGTTGATGGAAATCTACAAACTACCACAGGTGAGACAGGATGGGGTGGGTCAGAGATGACATTGAATGTCCTTTGCTGTTATTACAAGGCATGTCAACAAAAGGTGGCTCAGAACAGTCTTTGAAGCCCCCAAAGGTGACAGAAAGTCCTTGCACTGCCAGTGTTTATTTAGGGTAAGAAGGAGACAGAATGAGATGGGCAGCAGTGAGGCATCCCTGGCTGGCACAGCCAGGCCAGCTCTGGGAACTCTATATCTGAACACTTACTTTCCAGATTAATTTTTCCCAGAGGGAAGATGATACATTTAAAAAAATGAACAAGTAAATCTTCCCCTTTCCAAAAGAAAATGTAGTATCTTCAACTTCAAAATGGTGAAATAATAATTGCTTTATTCTTTACTATCATGCTGTTATTATCTAACTGCTATATCTCCGAAGAATTTTTTTTTTTTTTTGAGACAGAGTTTCCCTCTTGTTGCCCAGGCTGGAGTGCGATGGCGCGATCTCAGCTCACAGCAACCTCCGCCTCCCGGGTTCAAGTGATTCTCCTTCCCTAGCCTCCCGAGTATCTGCGATTACAGGCATGCGCCACCACGCCTGGCTAATTTTTGTATTTTTAGTAGAGACGGGGTTTCTTCATGTTGGTCAGGCTGGTCTCGAACTCCCAACCTCGGGTGGTCCGCCCACCTCAGCCTCCCGAAGTGCTGGGATCACAGGCGTGAGCCACTGCACCCGGCTTTGCGAAGAATTTTTGACCATCCTCTGACTCTCTCCAGAATCGTTTCCTTGACTAATAGTCAAAATTGGAATTTTTATAGCCCTGTAAACCCACAGATTAGCTTATAGGGAGATTTGGTAAACTGAGATTTTGGGGAGGGGAAGGGATGCTGGCAGAGAAGAAACTTTGTTTACAATTTTATTACCCTAGATAATATTAACCAGTTTTGTATGTTTCTTAGAAATTTTATTGTAGCTTACCTGTTTGCCAATGGCTATATGAAACCTTGCTCTTCAAATGTTCTACAAATCAGGACTTTTGTCTTCAAAATGGTTTTCTCATGAATGAGTTGAGTACAGTTTTAACTCTTGTTAAGAAAAACTCTGAGCATTTTGCCTTTACACACGTTCATCAATTTCTCTAGTAATTTACTTGCTAGCTTTGAATTTCTTCTAGGAGTAGAAAGTGAAGTGCCTGATGTATTGTGTTTGTGCCCTTCTCCCTCAAATCACTTCTGAATACAAATGGATATTGTTTTTCCTTTTCCTCTAAGATTAGTTATGTATGTCCATTTGATCCTTTGCCTAGTGATGAAGGACAGTTTCCATCTCTGTATCAGATGGTCCCAAGGAATCATCTTTGCCTCTTGGCATGGTGAAGCTGTTGCAGCATTTTAGCTAGACCTGGTAGGGCTGCTTGTCTCAGATGACATAAAAGGTGGGCATTTTTGGCCAGGCACGGTGGCTCACGCCTGTAATCCCAGCTCTTTGGAGGGCCAAGGCGGGTGGATCACCTGAAGTCGGGAGTTCGAGACCAGCCTGACCAACATGGAGAAACCCCGTCTCTACTAAAAATAGAAAAATTAGCTGGGTATGGTGGTGCATGCCTGTAATCCCAGCTACTCAGGAGGCTGAGGTGGGAGAATCGCTTTAACCTGGGAGGCAGAGGTTGCTGTGAGCCGAGATTGCACCACTGCACTCCAGCCTGGGCGACACAGCTAGACTCCGTCTCAAAAAAAAAAAAAAAAAAAAGGTGGGCATTTTTTCTAGGAACTGAGAGAAGTGGCCAGGGAAAGCATCTATTCAGGCTTTACAAAGAAACTGTCTTGGAGGGTGTTCTGCCATCAGCAGGCAGGATAACATTGGCCAAGACTGAAGATCCATCAACAAATGTGACTGCTGTCTGTGGTGACACAGACCCCCTAATCCTCCTGACGTTCTGGGATGGAACACTTTGAAAACGTGGAAAGCGTGTGTTACCACCTCCCAGTGGGACTTTATCACACATGGGGGAAGTTTCATACTTAATCCATTCCATGGGACTCTCACTTTTTCAAAGCAGAACAGTGAGATGCCTGGCTTCCAGCATTTTGTTCAGACAGTTAGCCCTTCCGTACACCCAGAACACATTTTCCATAATAAACTGTGGCTTTTTTCCTTGGATTGCTTCCTTTCTGATTCTGGCTGTGAAACCCTGGGAGGATGCCCACGAAATGCTTTCTTGGGTCCTGTGCCTTTGCGTTGCTTTGACTGGATTGCATCTGATTTCATTAAGACCATCTATGATGCTGCGTGTGCAGCCAATGCCCTATGCTAAGTGCTGCTTTTAGAAATACAGTGGGATATGAGGAAAATGTAGATGCAGTGCTGTTTCATCCCTGGCAGGTAATGATTTCCGCTAGGGCATTGTCGGCCCTGGAGCCCATCGATTCTTGAAACATATAGTCATAAATGAGATTTTCTCAAAACCTGCATAATAACGCAGGCAAAACACATTGAAATTTTACATTCTGAATATAAATTCTGAAAATGAATATGTCTACTTGCTTTTACAATGAGAAACCATATATAGTCCGGAGAGTTTTCAGTTTTGATATCTGTGTGTGTGTGTGTGTGTGTGTGTGTATGTGTGTGTGTAAATGATCATCACATAGATATCTCTGGCTAGAAGAAACTTTGTCATATTTGTTCTAAGATTAAATGTTTGTCCCATATTTCCAATACTCATTTTCAATCTGATTTAAATTTTTTGATCTATGATATTAACTGTCTAGAAATGACTGGGGAAAAGAAATTAGTTTTGAGCCCTTACTTTGTGTTCAGCATAAATGGTGATTATATTTTTTCTTTTAATTCAAAATAACATTAAGAGATATGAATTGCTATTTCTATTTTATGTATGAGAAAAACTCATATTCAGAGACATTCGGTAAAATTCTTACACACTGCCTGTAAATGGATCATCAAAAATTTGAAAGCGGCCAGGTGCAGTGGCTCACTCCTGTAATCCCAACACTTTGGGAGGCTGAGGGGGGCTGATCACCTGAGGTCAGGAGTTTGAGACCAGCCTGACCAATATGGTGAAACCCTGTCTCTACTAAAAATACAAAAATTAGCTGGGTGCGGTGGCGGGTGCCTATAGTCCCAGCTACATGGGAGGCTGAGACAGGAGAATCGCTTGAACCCAGGAGGCAGAGGTTGCAGTAAGCCAAGATCGCGCCACTACACTCCAGCCTGGGCAACAGAATGAGACTCCATCTCAAAAAAAAAAAAAAAAGAAATCGAAACCACAATTGTCTTTATTTTCATCAAAGTATAAAGTTGAATTTGAGCTTTCAGTCTTCAAGGATCAGGGAGGAACAATGCTTCAGTTAACGTTTCATAGCATAATGCATTTGTTTTTATTACTCCCTGATGCATCCCTTTTAGCTTTACTCTCTTAAGGACCACGGAATTTATGACCAGTGCTGATGATCAGGTACCCAGATTAGAATAGGAACTCTGTTGCATAGTATGATATTCTGAATTATTGTAATTTGCTTGATGGTCTCCAACATCAAGGGAAGCTAGGAGAATGTGTTTTCCACGTGGTCAAGATTTTACTATACACGAGGAAAGGATCAAATGGGCCATTGTTGTTTTCAGAGGTTAGTCACAATTTCAAAGATAGCTTTTTACTGAATATGGATACCAGAATAGAGTTGATTCATGCAGGTAATTTCACCTGATTTGAACCCTCTACGTAGTTGATATGTACACACGCCTATACATATGTATGTTGATACGTATCCCACCTATACACGCTTCTACCTTTTAATATTTCTTATTCATTGCTTACCGAAGAACAAACATTAAATTGCATAATAAAATGACAACGATGGTAATAATGGTAGTGAATAATCATTAACTATGTGCCAAGCATTGTTTTAGTGGTTTTATGTATGTCTGTTATATTACTCAGAACACTGCTATGAGTCAGATCCCTTTCATATTTGTTTTAGATAAGAAAAGGGGTGCAAAGGAACGTTAAGTAACTTATTCACCATTATACTCTTAGTGATGAGTCACAATTTTAACCAAAGGAGTTCCTGTCAAAATCCATGGTTTTAACCACAATACTGTATTGGTCCTCAGATTTTTATATCTTATTAAATAATATATTTCTTTCTAAATTTATTTTATTATTTTATCACTACACATGTAACAAAAATGCATTAAATAATATATTTCTAAAATTAAATGTTTTGTTTTTATTTCTACATAAAAATATTTTTGATATTCTGAATTTCTGTTATCTTCCTCATTGTTATAATTAAGATTGTCTTGGTTTTTATAGTCAATGATACTAACTCTAAACAGTAAGTTTTGTGTCTTTATTTCAAATCCTTATGTTATTTTATAGGAGCTCAATTTTCATCTTTGTGCATATCATACCCCTTTCAAATGGAATAATTCTTATATTTCACCTTGATGCTTTCTGTATATTTCTGGTAATAACTTTACTTGTACTGTTAGGTTACTCAGACATTCTTTTTTTTTTTTGAGACGGAACGGAGTCTCGCTCTGTCGCCCAGGCTGGAGTCCAGTGATGCCATCTCAGCTCACTGCAAGCTCTGCCTCCCAGGTTCATGCCATTCTCCTGCCTCACCCTCCCGAGTAGCTGGGGTTACAGGTGCCCACCACCATGCCCTGCTAATTTTTTTTGTATTTTTAGTAGAGACGGGGTTTCACCGTGTTAGCCAGGATGGTCTCGATCTCCTGACCTCGTGATCCGCCCACCTCAGCCTCCCAAAGTGCTGGGATTACAGGCGTGAGCCACCACTCCCGGCCACAGGTTACTCAGACATTCTTTTATGAATTACAAGTTAGTTTGGTGTCTACTAAAATGCGTATGATTTTCTGTAATGATTTGTTAGTATAGATTATTAAATTTATATATATGTATATATGTATACTTATTAACTTATCCTTGCTTTCCTAGGATAAACTGAAATTGATCATAATTTTTTGATAGACATTATTTTTTAGAGTAGTTTCACGTTTTAAAAAATTTGAAGAGAAAGTACAAAGAGTATATATACCTCCCTTCCTCCCCGTTTCTCTATAATTTGTATTTTCTATAACACTTTGCGTTAGGGTGATGCATGTGTTACAATTGATGAACCAACATTGATACACTATTATTAACTGAAATCCATACTTTAGGGTTCAGTCTGTGTTATAGAATTTTATGGGTGTTGACAAATTTATAATGTCATGTATCCACTATTGCAGTATCAGACAAAATATTATGGCTGCCTTCAAAGTCCCTTATGCTCCACCTATCCATCCCTCCTTCCTTCTCCACCAGGATGCTTTCTTTAATATTTTGTGGTACACAGGGTATTTATATCCATATTCCTAACTGGAAATGTTCTCTAATTTTACTTTACCATTCTACGATTTGTTTTGTTATCAATGGTATGCTAGCTTCTCAAATCGAGGAGTCTTTTTCTAATTTATTAAAAGATGAAAATTTACTATTTCTTGAACACTGTTATTTGGGTATAAGATCACATGGCTCTGATGTGTATCTTGTGGCTCTATTTTTAACAACTAACTCTATTTTAAATTATTATTGTGATATGGGTTGGATTTGTGTCCCTGCCCAAATCTCAGGTGGAATTGGAGGAGGGGTCTGGTGGGAGGTAATTGGATCATGGGGGTGGATTTCCCCCTTGCTGTTCTGTGAGAGTGGGTGAGTTCTCATGAGATCTCATGGTTTAAACGTGTGTGGCACTTCCCTGTTCTCTCTCTCTCTCCTGCCACCACGTGAAGAAGATCCTTGCTTCCCCTTCACCTTCTGCCATGATTGTAGGTTTCCTGAGGCCTCCCTGTCATGCTTCCTGTTAAGCCTGTGGAAGTGTGAGTTAATTAAATCTCTTTTTTTTTTTTTGTAAGTTATCCACTCTCAAGTAGTTTTTTTTTTTTCTTTTGAGACGGAGTCTTGCTCTGTCACCCAGGCTGGAGTGCAGTGGCGTGATCTCGGCTCACTGCAAACTCCGCCTCCCGGGTTCACGCCATTCTCCTGCCTCAGCCTCCCGAGTAGCTGGGACTACAGGTGCCCGACACCACGCCCGGCCAATTTTTTGTATTTTTAGTAGAGACGAGGTTTCACCGTGTTAGCCATGATGGTCTCGATCAGGATCCTGACCTTGTGATCTGCCCGCCTCGGCCTCCCAAAGTGCTGGGATTACAGGCGTGAGCCACCACGCCCGGCCTCAACTAGTTCTTTATAGCGGTGTGAAAATGGACTAATACATATTGTTTATTTTAACTTTGTATTTCTCCTTCAGCTGATGTATAAGTTCTAAGTTATAGGTTTTGTGTTTAAATTTTTTATTTCTTCTTGATCCATTATTTATACGTATATTTAAAATGTAAAAAAATTAGGATTTTGATTTTGTTGATTGATTACTAATTTAATTGTATTGTAGACAAGAGTCTTGCTCTTTAGCCAGTGAATGCTCAATTTTAATGAACTGTCCATGTGTACTTGTGAAAAATGAGTAGTCACTGACTTGGAGGTTCAGAGTTCTGTGCATGTTTATTATATCAGTCTTATTCATTATGTTCCTTAAATTACTTGTATTCTTCTTTACATTATGTCTAATTAAACTCTTTATTCATGAGGGAGATACATTGATATCTACCATCATGGATAGATTTGTCAAATTTGTCAATTTCTCCTTGTTATTCCACTGCACAGTTTGTGTTTGAATTGGACTATATGCATATAAAGGCAGATGCTCAATCCTTATATCCTGTTGAGTTCAATTCATGAAATAAAAAGTAACCAGTATAGTTTAGCCATTTTTATTCTACTTTATATGTAACTTGATATTTATCACATATATTATTTCTTTGTATTTTTATATGATCTGTCTAAAATGTACAAAAAATTTCCATGTTACTAATTTTTCAGATATTACTGTTAAGTGGTAGCATGCTGCCATGACATAGCTGAATTTCCACACTGCCCTAACTCTGCTTATCTTTAAAAAACATGACACTTGCTCTAGGAAGTTCCCTTTGTAACCAGACCCACTGACACTTGTTAGAACCAGGATAGCTAAAGCCTCAGGCTTCATTATAATCTCATTTCCATGCTAAATGGCACTCCTGGCCAGGCATGGTTGTACATCCCTGTAATCCGAGCCCTTTGGGAGGCCAATGTAGGAGGATTGCTTGAGCACAAGAATTTGAGACCAGCCTGGTCAACAGAATAAGACCTGGTCTCCACAAAAAAAAAAAAAAAAAAAAAAAAATTTTAAATTACCCAAGTGTGGTGTCACACACCTATCGTCTCAGCTACTCAGAAGGCTAAAGGGGGTGGATCACTTAGGCCCGGGAGTTCAAGGCTGCAGCGAGCCATGATTGCACCACTGCACTAAAGCCTGGGCAACAGAGCAAGGCCCCATCTCTTAAAATAGAAAAGAAATCCTAGCACTTTGGAAGGCCGAGGCGGGCAGATTGCCTGAGTTCAGGAGTTCGAGACCAGCCTGGGTAACACAGTGAAACCACATCTCTACTAAAAATACAAAAAATATAGCCAGGCGTGGCAGCGTGCGCCTGTAGTCCCAGCTATTTGGGAGGCTGAGGCAGGAGAATTGCTTGAACCCGGGAAGCGGAGGTTGCAGTGAGCCCAGGTCGTGCCACTGCACTCCAACCTTGGTGACAGAGTGAGACTCCATCGCCAAGAAAAAAAGGAAAGAAAAGAAAAAAAGACACTTCCACTGGTGTCATGACACTTGACAATCATCATGACGCTGACCAGAAGTCATAAAAGTTCAAAAAGGAAGGTGGCACTAGGAGTTCTGTGAAGTTGCTGCTCATTCCTGGAAAATGCATGAATATTCTTCCCCTTGCTTTTAATGTCCAATCCCTTCATTAGAGAAACCCTGTATTTTATTTTAACCTCCTCACCTCTCATTAGTCGAGAAGTGATTTGTGAGCCATGCTTCTCCTTCTCAAGTCCACGGCCATCAAGTAAAGCTTGCACTGCTTGGTGCTCACCTTCAGTTTTGTGTATTGCCTTTGCAGCACCGAACAAGTAAAGACCCCATTTTTGGAGGAAGTGGCTTTGTTTGATAGCATTGCTATGGCTATTAACATGCATATTAGCTCATCCCATAATTCTAATGTTTATATTTATATTTTTTATTTTTTTAAGAATCTTGCTGATTGATTTTGTTCATCTCCCAATTCCTGCTCACAATTTGACACCCTATTTGTTTCCTTAAAGAGTTTAAGCCTATACATATTTTGATCCTATATCTGAAAATTATAAGGTCTAAAATGCCTTCTGGTTGCATTTTGTTGTTTGTTGTTTATGTTGACTCTTCATTGTGTGGTTTACATGTTCATTTGGTCTTAGTGTCTGTATAACTTCATGGTGAGTAATAAATATTTCGAGGGTCAGTCCCTCTTACAGGATTGCCTGTGTTTCATCCAAGCACCTGAGTTGTTAATAATCAGAAGACATTTAATTTATGCACTTAAAGTTTTCCTTGACTATACAAATACATTTAAAATTAAATCCCAAACCAGTATGAAGACAAGTTTTTGAATAAAAATTTCTCAGAAGAGACATTTTTCTCTTTTGCCACCCAGACTCCAAACTGAGGCTGAGAACTTATCTCCTTTCACTGGCAAGAAGATTTTTTTGTTTTCTTTTTCCTAGATCATTTCCCTATGAAAGTAGGCCTTCATGCTGGGCACGGTGGCTCATGCCTGTAATCCCAGCACTTTGGGAGGCGGAGGCAGGTGGATCATGAGGTCAGGAGATCAAGACCATCATGGCTAACACGGTGAAACCCCGTCTCTACTAAAAAAATACAAAAAATTAGCCGGGCATGGTGGTGTGCACCTGTAGTCCCAGCTACTCAGGAGGCTGAGGCAGGAGAATGGTGTGAACCCAGGAGGCGGAGCTTGCAGTGAGCCAAGATTGTGCCACTGCACTCCAGCCTGGGTGACAGAGCGCAGAAAAAAGAAAGAAAAGAAAAAGAAAGTGGGCCTTCAATAGTTGTAGCTCTATGGATTGTCTCAAGCCTAAGGTCTTGTCTCCTGTCCCCTCGGTTTTGGTCATTAAAACACAAGTGACCGTGATCATCTTAATTAGCAAACATTGTGAGGATAGCTTTTGCTTGCTGATCAGCTTTCCCGTTCTGGGTTTCTGTTCCTTTTTTATTTTTTTCCTTGAGGCTTCTCATAGATTATTGGAGCTAGGCTAGGTTTGTAAGCTTTTGTTGTATTTATCTACCAATTCTAATTGTTTCGTATTCTGCATATCTGATCTAATTATCACCAGTAGGAGTAGCCTAGGCTAGTTTTTAAAATAAAATGTCTTGAGTGCCCGGATATGTGTTATCAATGTTATTGTTATTATACTAGAGATAGCATCATTATACATCCTTTGGACAATTAATCAATATACGGCTTTCAATCACCTTGCTTATCCATTTTGTGTGGACATAATTTAGATTATTTGGATATTTGCCTTTAATGCAAAAATGTGACTCTATTTATTCATTTATTCATTTACTTATTGAGACGGAGTCTCGCTCTGTCGCCCAGGCTGGAGTGCAGTGGCCCCATCTCAGCTCACTGCAAGCTCCGCCTCCCGGATTCATGCCATTCTCCTGCCTCAGCCTCCTGGGTAGCTGGGACTACAGGCGCCTGCCACCACGCCCGGCTAATTTTTTGTATTTTTAGTAGAGACGAGGTTTCACCATGTTAGCCAGGATGGTCTCGATCTCCTGACCTTCATGATCCACCTGCCTCGGCCTCCCAAAGTGCTGGGATTACAGGTGTGAGCCACTGCCCCCAGCGACTTTATTTTACCTTTATCAAAAACATTGCTTTTGTTTCTACTTAATTTTTATTTTCTAGTATGCATGTTTCAGATAGTTCTAAAAGGTATTACACATCATAATATTTAAATTAATACAATATTATTAATTTTGGAATTTTATAATTCATCTATTCTAAATATATGAGGAACACCGACCCCCAGTTTCTTTTCTTCAGGCTCTCTACTTTGTGTGCAGCCACAGCTATGGGTCAGAATTTAGAAAATCCCCACAGGAAGGAAAAGCTGTATGTTGTTTGAACTCAGCACCTAGAGGGTAAGATTTCCAATAAGATAGGTCAACAAACAATTTGTTTCTAGCCGTTCTTCAGCGTCCCCATTAATACAAAAATTGATTAGGATTTGGGTTAGACCTACAAAGTGCCATTCTTTCCCTCATTTATCAATCATGTGATCATTCATGTGATACATTTAATGTTCTAATCAGTAGAACATTGCCAGCTTTCTCATGAACTAATGGAGCAAGAACTCACCCCTTACTGGAGGGAAGGCACCAAGCCATCCAGGGGGGACCCACCCTTATGACCCAGACACCTCCCATTAGCCCCTGCCTTAAACATTGGGGATCATATTTCAATATGAGATTTGAAGGAGACAAATATCAAAACTATTAGTAGGTAAATGAGTCTTGTTACATTCTGAGGAAAGAATATTCAAGACAAAAGAACTAGAAGTTCAAAGGCCTTGGGGCAGGAGTTTGTAAACTTGAAAGTAAATCAAGGCAGCTAATGTGGATGGCTGGAAAATACAGCAAAAAGAAATTGTGGTAGGAGGTGAGGTCTGAGATTTAGAAACATGATAAAAATTTTGATTTAAAGTGTAATTAAGAGCCATTGGAAAGCTTTGAGCATGGCAGTTAAATGATTTGATTGTTAAAGAGTAACTGCCTGCTTTTTGCAAAATAGACTGAAGTTGACTCAGGGAATTGGAAGTAGGCAGGCCACTGGGGTTTATTACAATAATCTAGGTAGAGATTACATTGTCTTAGATCAGGACGGCCAAGTGGAAGTGACAAGAAGTGATTAGAATTAGGAAGTATTTTGATGGGAGAGTCAAGAGGATTCACTGATGTATTAGTTGTGTTTTTTTGTGAAGTAAAAAATCATGAGTAATGCCCAGATTCTGGACCAGTGCAACTTAATGTCTCATGGTCAATCTAATGGGAGTTTGAGGGTGTGTTTTTTTTAATTTTGAAAAAAGCAGTATGCCTTGGTCATTGCAGTATTTCTAGAATTCAACTAAGGGTCTGGCTCGCCAGTTAAAGCTTTCTTGTGTAAACGAATAAATTTCTTGTATAAATGAATACATTTAAGGCTTAGCCTGCCAAATAGATATTTGGAATGTCTTAAAGATTGTAATGGTCTCATCATCAGATAAAAAATAGGAGTAGCATGCACATCTATGTAAAAGATAAAAAAATCTTTCTTCATACAAATGACAAGGGGGATAAATACTGCTAAACTGGAATGAGTTAATTTGTAGCATCTTATAATTTCATGAAATATGAATAGGTGGACAATGTGCTTTAAGATGACTAATGTTAACATTGTTTAGTCCTGTGAAAAAAGGAAGCATTTCAGAACTTGAGACAATAAGCTTTTGACTTTTTAAAATCAGACTCCAATGAATGTGCAAAATGTCCAGACAACCAGTATTCAGTGAGAGAGATCACTGCCTCACAGAGTTGTGACCTTCCTGGATTTTGAAGATGCACTGGGGACAGCACTGGCCAGCATAGCTCTCTGTTTCTCTGTCCTCACTGCCATTGGTATGGTTTCGCTGTGTCCCCACCCTAATCTCATCTTGAATTATAGCTCCCATAATTCCCACGTGTTGTGAGAGGGAGCTGGTGGGAGATAATTGAATCATGGGCGCAGTTGCTCCCATACTGTTCTAAGTCTCACAAGATCTGATAATTTTATTAAAAGGTTTCCCCTTTCGCTTGGCTCTCGTGCTCCCTTGCAGGCCGCCATGGTAAGACGTACCTTTCACCTTCAGCCGTGATTGTGAGGCCTCCCCAGCCACCTGGAACTGTGTGTCCATTAAGGCTCTCTTCCTTTATAAATTACCCAGTCTCTGATATATCTTTATCAGCAGTGTGAAAATGGACTAATACAGCCATGGTTCTTATGATCTTTGTGAAGCACATACACACACTCATAGTCAAGACTCTCAGCGACATCTCTCTGTCTGTTTTCTTCTGCTCCTTGCTCTTCACTGGCTGTACAAACACAGTCACTTGTATCCTCTGACAGACAACATTTGGAATCATTTTTACTGTGGTTGTTTCAACTGCGTTAGCTAAAACTATCACTGTGCTTATAGCCTGTAAGGCTACAGCATCAGAGAGAAAGCCAAAGTGGTTTTGGGGACTGGGAGTATTTAGCACAGTTATTTTCATCTGTTTCCTTATCCAAGTAACTCTCTGGAATTTGGCATGGGATCAAAGAGTGCCATCAGGACTCTCAATGATGAGGTATTCTTTGCCTTCCACTCTGTTCTGGGATTCTTGACCTTTTTGGCACTGGGGAGCTTCATCTTGGCTTTCCTGGCCAGCAGCCTGCCTGACACCTTCAATGAAGCCAAGTTCTTGATGTTCAGCATGCTGATGTTATGTACTGTTTGAATTACCTTCCAAACTGTGTAACATAGCACCAAAGGGAAGGTCATGGTTGCCTTGGAAATATTCTCCACCTTGACTTCCAGTGCTGAGTGCTAGGCGGTATCTTTGCTCCCAGAGGCCGTATTATTCTAATAAAACCAGATAAGAATACTCTTGGAGAGTTAAGGGAAAAAAGCAAGTTCTTACATGTATAAATATTTAATTTCTGGCCTTAGAAAAATAAAAAAGAGGAATGTAAAAAATAACTGCTATTTGCATGCAGATGAGACACAGTCACATTTAAGTAATATTTCAGACTGGTTTATAATCTCTTAACTCTGCCATTACATTCAAATAGTGTGAAATTCACAATACCTTCAATCACCAAGTTTGTGAATATAAATATTAACTTTGATGTGTGTTTTCTGCAGGTTAAATCTATTATTAAATGCTGTAAGTTGTCCTTCATTATATGCACAGTAACCCTTTTTATCTCTATCTTTAGCTACCATTTTGTCTTAGACACACATCTTAAGCAGAAAGTATTGAGGCAGTCCTCCACTCAACATCTCATTTAATTTTATGACTTTTTTCTAATTGGCGGGACAGATGGCATAAAGATTTATAATTTGTATTTGAACTTTATTATATTTTTCTGTTTTCTTCTGACAAATATATGTAAAATTATAAAAATTTACCTGCAATTTGTATATCTAAATTGTGGGAGGTAGGAGTCTAATATTACTTTTATCAAACAAACCAGACATTTGCCCCTAAATAATAATAGACTACACTTGTCTTATTGATTTCAAATGCAACTGTATTGTACTCTACATTTTTGTGTTGTCAAAAATAACTCCATGTCAGTTTAGTTATCAACAAGCAATTTTAATATATGTGGGAGAACAATCAATAGATTGTTATCAGAGATAAAAATTGGATTTATAAAACAAAAGGGCAGAGGCATTTAAAAAAAAAAAGTCTGAAAAATTAGTTTAGTTTTCTTTATCCTGAGTATACTGACTGACAAGAGGGACACTAAGGGATCAGTCTCTGGGATAGTCAACAGAGAAAACTTTCAGTTATTTCTAGATTATCTGAAAAGGCTCGACAGTTCTGCTGGGACAAACTGTGTCCAGGCATTACGTGCCACTCTCCTTCTATTGCCACTCTGCACACAATTAAATCAGACTGCATCATATCCCTTTAAAATATATCTTATATCTCTGTTTTCTTTGGTTAAAATCCAGCTCCCAGATGAACAGATTTTTCCTATAGAGGTTTTATTTTTTTCTTCAACACTGTATTATGAGTTGAATGTCAGGTCAGGGTTATGGCTGTGAAGCAAGATATAAGAATCAAGATAGGCTGGGCACGGTGGCTCACGCCTGTAATCCCAGCACTTTGGGAGGCAGAGGCAGGCGGATCACGAGGTCGGGAGATCCAGACCATCCTGGCTAACACTGTGAAACCCCGTCTCTACTAAAAATACAAAAAAATTAGCTGGGCGCGGTGGCAGGCGCCTATAGTCCCAGCTACTAGGGAGGCTGAGGCAGGAGAATGGCGTGAACCCGGGAGGCGGAGCTTGCAGTGAGCCAAGATGGCGTCACTGCACTCCAGCCTGGGCGACAGAGCAAGACTCCATCTCAAAAAAAAAAAAAAAAAGGAATCAAGATAATGGGAAGGTTAAAAAAGATAAAAAGTTTGGGAATAATCCCAAGTATTTTAAGAAATATTTGAAGCTCGCTTAGCATCTGTTTTTCTTGGGTTTAGCTTAGCCAGAAAAATAACTCCTAAGATCGAATAAATCAATTTTACTTACCTAATGTTTATTCAGGTTCCAGATATTTCAGGTATGGTAAAGATTTTCTCTTGGAAGGACATTAAATTGCCAATTATCTATTACTTAGGACTATCCTAGTCAACACGTTGCTGCTATTCTGTTGAGTTTCTAAAACCTGAGGTGCTTTGTTTACTGCGGAGTCCATAGTCAAGGATAAATTATGGATCATGCATGTTAGTTGGGAAACAACTTGGATAAGGTAGAAACACCTACACACACACAAACATACTCACACATACACCCACCTACACACATACACACACACAGTCACACACACACACTAACACTGTGCCCGAAATTGGTGGGTTCTTGGTCTCACTGACTTCAAGAATGAAGCCGCGGACCCTCGCGGTGAGTGTTACAGCTTTTAAGGTGGCGCATCTGGAAGTCTGTCCCTTCTGACGTTCACATGTGTTCGGAGTTTCTTCCTTCTGGTGGGTTCGTGGTCTCGCTGGCTCAGGAGTGAAGCTGCAGACCTTCGTGGTGAGTGTTACAGCTCTTAAGGTGGCACGTCTGGAGTTGTTCGTTCCTCCCGGTGGGCTGGTGGTCTCACTGGGCTCAGGAGTGAAGCTGCAAATCTTCACGGTGAGTGTTACAGCTTATAAAAGCAGCGTGCACCCAAAGAATGAGCAGTAGCAAGATTTATTGCAAAGGGCAAAAGAACACAGGTTCCACAGTCTGGAAGGGGACCCGAGCGGGTTGCCAATGCTGGCTCGGGCAGCCTGCTTTTATTCTCTTATCTGGCCCCACCCACATGCTGCTGATTGGTAGAGCCGAGTGGCCTGTTTTAACAGGGCGCTGATTGGTGCGTTTACAATCCCTGAGCTAGATACAAAGGTTCTCCACCTCCCCATCAGATTAGTTAGATACAGAGTTTCCACACACAGGTTCTCCAAGGCCCCACCAGAGCAGCTAGATACACAGTGTCGATTGGTGCATTCACAAACCTTGAGCTAAACACAGGGTGCTGATTGGTGTATTTACAATCCCTGAGCTAGACATAAAGACTCTCCACCTCCCCACCAGACTCAGGAGCCCAGCTGGCTTCACCTAGTGGATCCCGCACAGGGGCTGCAGGTGGAGCTGCCTGCCAGTCCCGCGCCGTGCGCTCGCACTCCTCAGCCCTAGGGTGGTCGATGGGACCGGGCGCCGTGGAGCAGGGGGTGGTGCTCGTCGGGGAGGCTCGGGCTGCACAGGAGCCCATGGAGTGGGTGGGAGGCTCAGGCATGGCGGGTTGCAGGTCCCCAGCCCTGCCCCGTGGGAAGGCAGCTAAGGCCTGGCGAGAAATCGAGCGCAGCACTGGTGGGCCGGCACTGCTGGGGGACCCAGTACACCCTCTGCAGCCGCTGGCCCGGGTGCTAAGTCCCTCATTGCCCGGGGCCAGCAGGGCTGCCCGGCTGCTCCCAGTGCGGGGCCCGCCAAGCCCATGCCCACCCGGAACTCCAGCTGGCCCGCAAGCGCCACATGCAGCCCGGGTTCCCGCTTGCGCCTTTCCCTCCACACCTCCCTGCAAGCTGAAGGAGTGGGCTCCGGCCTTGGCCAGCCCAGAAAGGGGCTCCCACAGTGTAGTGGGGGCTGAAGGGCTCCTCAAATGCCGCCAAAGTGGGAGCCCAGGCAGGGGAGGTGCCGAGAGCAAGCGAGGGCTCTGAGGACTGCCAGCACGCTGTCACCTCTCAACACCTACACACAAACACTCACACCTACACACACAAGCACACATATACCCACACACAAAATGAAGCGTATATGTATACATGTACATATATATGATAAATTCTGATGTCTTGAGTCCCTCTTTATAAACTACCACATTGATTCAATAAAATATGAGCAACTGAATGGTTTGTTTCAGTAAATGGAAAGGCCAGAATACGATGTCCAAAACAATGTTTATGTTTGAATATGATTATAGAAAATCATGATTTCTTCATAAGAATAATAATTCCAAGAGTATATCTTGTGGAGACACAAGTATGTTTTTCATAGTCACAATTATTTATCAAATGTCACCTGAATTTAATTAATTTTTGTATTCAGAATAAAATCCCAGAGTTTAGAAAAAGCATGCAATGATTTCTGTGTAGCTTTATGAGAAAATAATTGGTCATAATTTATCATTAATTCCATATGCCATTATCTTTCTCATGAGGCTCTAGAAAATATCAGCAACTGCAGCTAATTTTGAGGACCTGCATTTTAGCCATAACGTCTAGATGCTTTAGCATTAGTAATATTCTGGAAAGTTGCAATGAGTTCACAGGGTTTATCAGAATGAAATTAGTCAAGAAAATGAGAAAAATGACTGGGATTTCAATTTTCATAGCCTAATACCTTGAACTAAGAAAAAATGAAAAAAGTGAGACAAAGAGGGGTATCCAAGTGATAAAATAGAATCAAAATAAGGGCATGTTTTTCTGATCATGAAGTTTTACCTGAAATATCTTGAGTGAAAGCTTCATATGACTGAATATACTTTTAATGTCATCTTCCTGATATGTAGACTCTTGAAGGAATATGTCTACTGGAAGTTGTCTGCTTCTGGAGGCTTTTTAATAGGCCTCTAGGTCAGATTTAACATGGGTCTGGATGTCCAGATTATAGGACCCTAAACACTTTTATCCTTAGAACCATGTCTTCTCTAGTGTTTTTCATAGAGCTTAAACAGATTCTTTGCGATTAAAAAAATAATCAAAATGGCTTTTTATAGCATAGTTCTAATGCTAAGTGTGTTTCTTCCAATAAACTCATTATCTTGGAGGGATACATCCAATCATATCCCTCTTGGAAATACATTTTGTATTAATTGTGCACATGACTGCACATATATTAATTTTGTAAATACTGACAGGATACAAATTCAATGATATGGAATCTGTCAGAGCAGGATTCAAGCCAAGAGTCACGTACCTTCTTGTAACATTTACAAAATGAGAGTTTATGAGAAATTTGGGACAAGATCACATTAACATTTTATCTAGGAGTAGAACTTTAGCTCAAACGAAAGCTTTAATTAAAATGAAAAGTTTCTTCTTTGGTAAATGACTTTTAAAACTTTACACTTTGGTAACTGATCCTTGGTTATGCTAAGTACAAATAAATTATTTCCAAGAAATTTTCTTTGAGATTTTCTTGAAATATGAATAAGTATTTTGGATTAATAAAATCAGTTTCAGCAACTGGTTTTACCAGTTGATGGAAAAACCAATAAGGGCTTCTACTTTTATACAGTAGTCATCTAGAAAGTTCTCTGTGGTTTTTAATATATCAACTAAATTATAGCCTATAATTTTAATAACCAAGATTCATTTTGAATATTGTGTTGCCCTCAAAGTCATTAATCATTTTCAGTGTTTGATTGAAGTACCCAACGAAATTAGAGAACTCCTTTGTTATCATAGCTTGTTAGATTCATAAAAAGTCTCAGAGGAATATCTACTCTACTTGTGGTAGCTAAGCCTTAAAGCTATAGCAAGGTTGTATGCTTACACTAGACCTATCAGTTTAACCATTTGAGAAGAACTAAGCATTGGTAAAAAGGCAGATTCTATAACAGATATCCAAAAATTATAGCCTATACTGTAAAATATATACCTGGATCACATTAATATTACATCAAGGTTCTGTAGAGGAACATTAGTCCCAAAAGTGCATGATTAAAGTTTCAGTAGTTGGTAGACACAAATAACAGTCACCTATATTAACAAGGAAATGTAGTGTCTGAGATTTTACCCCATTTATAAGCTAATAAGTTAGTCTGTTACTGTTTCATGAATAGGGGGAAGACACAACAGTCCTGGATCAGAGACAAACATTTCATTACTCACGGCATTGCTAATGTGAGTGTCATGTTGTATCAGTCAACTTTGTCCCCCAAATCTCACAAGGATAAAGCAGAGGAACCCAAGTCAATGGTGAACATGCTATAATAAATTTGTATTGCAGCAAAGAAACACTGAGCTTGGGGGATGTACTGCTTTTACATTAAGCAGTAGACAAGTCTGCTTAACGTTCCAAAGGGAAACATTTTTTCACCTCTCAAGGTTGCTGCTAGAAATACAACCTAGAGAAATGGTATGGAAAAAGAGCATTCAGAGCCTTGCATTTAAATTTTTTTCCCTTTTGACACAGGTATTTATTCTTATTTGTCTACATCTACATATCTCAAATTTTCTACTGTGATAAATAAACATAACATGAAATGTTACCATTTTAATGACTTTAAGTGTACAATTCAGTGGCAAGCACACTCACATTGTTGTGCCATCATCACCACTATCCATCTCCAGAATTTTTTTCATCTTGCAGAACTGAAACTCTGTACCCATTAACACTAATTATCAATTCCTTACTCCCCCCAGCCCCAGGCAATGACCATTTTACTTTCTGTTTCTATGAATTTGATTACTCTGGGTACCTCATATCAGTAGAATCATAAAATATATCTCCATTTGTGTCTACCTTATTTTACTTAGTGTAAGGTCTTTCAAATTTATCTATATTGTAGCATGTGGCAGAATTTCCTTTCTTTTTAAGGATGAATTATATTTTACTCTATGTCTATGCCACATTTTATCTCTTTATCTGCCAATGGATATTTGGGTTGTTTCTACTTTTGGCTACTGTGAATAATGCTAATATGGATGTTGATGTACAAATATCTGTTTGAGTCCTTGCTTGAAATTAATTTTGGAGGAATTGCTGGGTCATATGGTAATTCTGTGTTTAATTCCTTGGGAAATCACCATACTCTGGTCCACAGCAACTCTATCATTTTGCATTCCCACCAGTAACCATAAAGGCCCTAGTTTCTCTACCTCTTCATCAGCATTCGTTATTTTCTGTTCATTTGATATTAATTATCCTAATGGGTGTGAAGTAAGGAGACTTGCATTCTTGACATACCCAGCAAGAACCTTCAGAACTACGCAAGGCTCATGGTAGACTGCTTCCCTCAATCAGTAGCTAGATTTAGTTAGTAGCAGAGTTTAAAGGTTTTCTGGGGAAGTAGCCAACAAAAGATTATATAAGCAATGATGTTGTTTTCCTAGAAGTGCCACGTGTTGTTCTATACTAATGACACTCTTGTCAAAGACCCTATGCAGAGTGAGCTGAGGGAAGTCTGCTAAGACTTTATCAGCTGGGCTACCACTATAACTAAACAAAGTGAATAAACCGTAGTCACAAGGTCAAGAGAAATGTTAATGTAGGTAATGAGCTTGTGATCAATTTTTAAACCATAAAGCAAAATGTTATCTCTATGCACAAATAATGGAGAAGGTTTACTTTCATTAGAAATGCCAGCCAATGTGGACCCTACTGTCACTACCCTGGTGAAGTGTTTTGGCTGGCACTCCCCATCAGAGTCTTGTTGCCAGTGGACTGGGAACACCTTGGCTCCTCCAAGCACCTCCTGCAACAGGTGCTTAACCTGGAGGGGCCAGAGAACAAAGCTGGAAGCCTAGTACCACCTTCCAGGGTAAGAGTACACAGCCCAGGTATGGCCCCCTGAAAATTTCCAGAGATGAAACCAGTTCACTTAACTCACTTTATACCATAGTCAACCCCCAAGGGAATCAAAGAATATACAAGTGAAAATCCCCATCCAAAGGACGGCAACTTCAAACATTAAAGGAACATCAGCCCACACAGAAGAGAAAGAACCAGTACAGGAACTCTGACAGCTCAAAAAGCAGAATGTCTTCTTACCTCCAAATGACCCAGCAGTGGTTCTTAATCAGGCTGAAATGACAGTCATGGAATTCAGCATTGGGACAGGAACAAAGATTACCAAGTTTCAGGAGTAAGTTGAAACACAATCAAAGGAATCTAAGGAATTTATTTAAATGATGCAAGAAGTGAACGACAAAATCACCGTTCTGAGAATGAAACCCATCTGACAGAGCTGAAAAACTCACTACAAGAATTTCATAATACAATCAGAATTGTTAACAGCAGAATAGACCAAGCTGAGGAAAGAATCTCAGAACTTGAAGACCAGATCTTTGAATCAACTCAATCAGACAAAAATGAATAAAAAAGCATAAACACAACTTCAGAGAAATATGGGATTATGTAAAGAGACCAATTCTATGGCTCATTGGCCTGAAAGAGAGGAAGAGAGAGCAAGCAAGTTGGAAAACATATTTGATGATAACTGTCCATGAAAATTTCCCCAACTTTGCTAAAGAGCTCGACATTCAAATTCAGGAAATGCAAAGAATCCCTTGAGATACTACACAAGATGTCCATTCCCAAGACACATATTTATTAGATTCTCCAAGGTCAACCTGAAAGAAAAAATAATAAAGACAACTAGAGAGAAGGGGTAGGTCACTTAAAAAGGAACCCCATCAGGCTAACAGCAGACCTTTCAGCAGGAACTATACAAGCCAGAAGAGATAGGGGGCCTATGTTCAGCATTCTTAAAGAAAAGAAATTCTAATCAAGAATTTCATATCCAGCCAAAGTAAGCTTTATAATCAAAGGAGGAATAAGATCCTTTTCAGACAAACAAATGCTAAGGGAATTCACCACCATCAGACTCACCTTACAAGAGATCCTTAAGGGTGTGCTAAACATGGGAACAGAAGACTGTTACCAGCAACCACAAACACACACTGAAGTACATAGACCACCGACATAAAGCAACTATGTAATCCAGTCTGCATAACAACCAACTACCAACATGACAGGATCAAATCTGCACATATCAATATTAACCTTAAATGTAAAAGGGCTAAAGGCCATACTTAAAAGGCACAGAGTGGCAATTGAATAAAGCAAGACCCAATGACATGCAGTTTTCAAGAGACCCATCTCACATGCAATGACACCCATAGGCTCAAAGTAAAAGAATAAAGAAAAATCTATCAAGCAAATATAAAACAAAAACAAACAAGGTTGCTATTCTAATTTCAGATAAAACAGAGTTTATACCAATAACAACCAAAAAGAAGACAAAGAAAGGCATCACATAATGATAAAGAGTTCAATTCAACAAGAAGACTTAACAATCCTAAATATAAATGCACCCAATACTGAGCACTCAGATTGATAAAACAAATTCTTAGAGACCTACGAAAAAACTTAGATAACCACACAATAATAGTGGGAGACTTCAACACCCCATTGACAGTATTAAACAGATCATCAAGGCAGAAAACAAAGATATTCATGACCTGAACTCAACACTTGACCAAATGGACCTAACAGACATTTCCAGAATGCTCCACTCAACAGCAGACTATATATATTTTTTCATCTGCACATGGCCCTTACTAAAAAACTGCCCGCATGATTAACCATAAAACAATTCTCAACAAATTAAAAAAAAACCAAAATCATACCAACCACACTCTTGGACCACAGTGCAATAAAAGTAAAAATCAATATGAAGACAATATCTTAAAACCATAAAATTACATGAAAATTAAACAATCTGCTCCTGAATGACTTTTGGGTAAACAATGAAACGAAGACAGAAGTCAAGAAACTCCTTGAAACTAACGAAAACAAAGATACAATATTCCAGAATCTCTGTGAGTCAGCTAAAGTAATTTTTTTTTTTTTGAGACGGAGTCTCGCTGGAGTGCAGTGGCACCATCTCTGCTCACTGCAAGCTCCACCTCCTGGGTTCATGCCATTCTCCTGCCTCAGCCTCCCGAATCGCTGGGACCACAGGCACCCGCCACCACACCCGGCTAATTTTTTTGTATTTTTGTATTCACCATGTTAGCCAGGATGGTCTCAATCTCCTGACCTTGTGATCCGCCTGCCTCGGCCTCCCAAAGTGCTGGGATTACAGGTTTGAGCCACCGCGCCCGGCCCCAGCTAAAGTAATGTTAAGAGGAAAGTTTATAGTGCTGAATGCTCACATTAAAAAGTTAGTAAGATCTCAGATTAAAACCTAACATCACACCTAGTGGAACTAGAAAAATAAGAGCAAACCAATACCAAAGCTAGTAGAAGAAAAGAAATGAGTAAAATCAGGTCTGAAATGAATGAAATCCAGATGTGAATAAAATCATACAAAGATCAGTGCAACCAACAGCTGGTTACTTGAAATAATAAATAAGATTGATAGTCCCATAGCTAGAATAATAAAGAAAAAAGGGAAAAGATTCAAATAAACACAGTCAGAAATGACAAAGAGGGCATTACCACTGACTCCACAGAAATACAAACAACTCTCAGAGACAATTGCAAACACCTGTATGCACATAAACTAGAAAACCTAAAAGAAATGGATAAATTCCTGAAATCATGCAGCCTCCCAAGATTGAGCCAGGATGAAATTGAACCCTGAAAGACCAATAACAAGGTCCAAAATTGAATCAGTAATAAAAAGTCTGCCAACCAGAAAAATCCCTGGATCGGACAAATTCACAGCCAAATTCAGGCAGATGTACAAAGAAGACTGGTACCATTCCTGCTGAAATTATTCCCAAAAATTGAGAAGGAAGAACTTCTCTCTAACTCATTTATTAGGCCAGCATCATTCTGACACTGAAACCTGGCAGAGACACAACAAAAAAAGAAAACTTCAGGCCAATATCCATGTTGAACTACAGATGCAAAAATCCTCAACAAAATTCTAGCAAATCAAGTCCAGCAGCACATCAAAAAGCTAATCTACCACAATCAAGCAGCCTTTATTTCTTGGGTACAACGCTGGTTCAACATATGCAAATCAATAAATGTGATTCATCACATAAACAGAACTGAAAACAGAAACCGTATGATCATCTCAACAGACACAGAAAAGGCTTTTGATAAAATTCAACATTCCGTCATGTTAAAAACCCTCAACAAACTAGATATTGAAGGAACATACCTCAAAATTTAAGAGCTATCTATGACAAACCTACAGCCAACATCATACTGAACAAGCAAAAGGTGGAGGCATTTCCCTTGAGAACTGAAAGAAAACAAGGTGGCCCACTCACATCACACCTATTCTGCACAGTCCTGGAAGTCGTAGCCAAAGCAATTAAGCAAGAGAAAGAAATAAAAGGCATTCAAACAAGAAGACAGGAAGTCAAACTATCTCTCTTTGCAGATGATATGATTTTACACCTAGAAAACCCCATAGTCTCTGCCCAATAGCTCATTGATCTGATATACAACTTCAGCAAAATTTCAGGATACAAAATCATTCCACAAAAATCTGTAGCATTTCTACATACCAACAACATCCAAGGTGAGAGGCAAATCAAGATTGCAATCACATTTACAATACTCACACCAAAAATTACCTAGGAATACAGCTAACCAGGGAGGTGAAAGATCTCTATAACAAGAATTAAAAACGCTGCTGAAAAAAATCAGAGAGGACACAAATATGAAAACATTCCATGCTAATGGATAGGAAGAATCACCTTTGTTAGAATGGCCATACTGCCCAAGGCAATTTACAGATTAATTACTATTTCTATCAAGCTTCCAAAGGCATTCTTCAGGGAACTAGGAAAAACTATTCTAAAATTCATATGGAACCAAAAAAGAGCCCAAGGCAATCCTAAGCAGAAAGAAAAAAGCTGGGGGCATCACATTTCCCAACTTCAAATGATACTATCAAGCTAAAGTAACCAAAACAACTTGGCACTGGTACAGAAACAGACACATATAGCAGACCAATGTAGCAGAACAGAAAACCCAGAAATAAAGCCACACATGTAAAACTATCTGATCTTCAACAAAGTTGACAAAAGCAAGCAATGTGGAAAAGACTCCCTATTCAATAAATTGTGCTGGGATAATTGGCTACCCATATGCAGAAGATTGAAACTGGACTCCTTCCTTATCCTATATAAAAAAATCAACTCAAGATGAATTAAAGACTTACATGTAAAACCTAAAACTATGAAAACCCCAGAAGAAAACCTAGGAACTACCATTCTGGACATAGGCCTGACAAAGATTTCATGATTAAGATGCCAAAAACCATTGTAACAAAAACAAAAATTGACAAATGGGACCTAATTAAACTAAAGAGTTTCTGAACAGCAAAAGAAACTAACATCAGAATAAACAGGCAACCTGCAGAATGAGAGAAAATATTTGCAAACTGTGAACCTAACAAAGGTCTAATACCCAGAATCTATAAGGATCTTAAACAAATGTACAAGCCAAAACCAAACAACTCCATTAAATAGTGGGCAAAAGACATGAACAGACACTTTTCTGAAGAAGACATACACATGGCCAACAAGCATATGAAGAAAACGCTCTACATCAGTAATCATTAGAGAAATACAAAACCACGATGAGATGCCATCTCACGTCAGTCAGAATGGCTATTACTAAAAAGTCAGAAAATAACAGATGCTGGCAAGGTCGTGCAGGAAAGGAACACTTACATATTGCTGGTGGGAATGTAAATTAGTTCAGCCACTGTAGAAAACAGTTTGACAATTTATAAAAGAACTTAAAACAGAGCTACCATTCTATCCAGCAATCCCATTACTGGGTATGTACCCCAAGAACTGTAAGTCATTCCATCATAAAGATACATGCTCATCTATGTTCACTGCAGCACTATTCACAATAGCAAAGACATGGAATCAACCTAAATGACCATCAGCAGTTGAAAACATGGTACATATACACCATGGAATACTACGCAGCCATAAAAAAGAATGAAATCATGTTCTTTGCAGCAACATGAATGCAGCTAGAGGCCATTATCCTACGTGAATTAACACAGCAACAGAAAACCAAATACCAAATGTTATCACTTATAAGTGGAAGCTAAACATTGAATATGCATGGACACACAGCAGGGGACAAGACATAGGACCTATTTGAGGGCGGAAGGTGAAAGTAGAGTGAGGATTAAGAAACTACTTATCAGGTACTATGTTTATTGCTCCAGTGATGAAATAATATGCACATCAAACCCCCATGACACACAATTTCCCCATGTATCAAACCTGCATATATACCCCCTGAACCTAAAATAAAAGTTGGGAGAATTAGAAAAAAAAAAGGAGTGCCTAACTTGGGGGTTGTTGTAATGTTCGCTTAACAAACACACAGTCTTTTGGGCATCTAAATCACAGCACAGAGGCTCTGGGGCATGGGATCTAGTGACCTCATACAGTGGTTGAGATAATCAGAATATAGACAGTATCAAACATATCTAATTACTTTACAAATTTCTTCTTGAATAATGTGAGTAGAGCATTATCCAGTAGCTATCTGAGAAACCCCAAAGACCTTTAGATACGAACAACATTTAACAGCTTTATTCCCATGAATTCATAACTTAAATTTATAAAACAAAAACAACAAAAAGAAAGAAGAATGGGAGACAGGAAGAAAAAGAAGAGAAGAGAAAAGAAAAGAAGAAAAGAAAACAAAAGAAAAGAAAAAAGGAAGACCCAGAATTTTAGAGAAAACTAGAAATTACAGCAAAAGTTAGACATTAGTTTCGGATACCTATTATAGGCGATGATACTTTAAACAAACAAAGCAAGAGGAAGTCTTAGAAGTGAGAAACCTTTGCCATAAATGATTGAAGATCCTGACCAAAACACACAACTTATATTTGAAGACCAAAATTTCGAAATGATTTTTATAAGCTGTTAATCTTGATATAATTATATATATACATATACGTGTGTGTGTGTTAAACATACTCAAATAGGTGATAAATTTAAACTTTTTAACTCTAATTTTGAAATAATTACCTTTACTAACAAATAATGGGTAAATATATTATCTTTAATTTACCAACTTAATAACCTGCACACTTTTTAAATCAGACAACATATATTCATTATCAAGTGTACATATTCTCTTTTCCCTGTACATATTCCTCTTGAGGGATGATATATCCGAAATAGTGCCTCACTGTGGAAATAGTTTCTGCCTTCTGAAACACAACTTGAGGATATAACAGAATTTCCAGCAGGGAGGTATAGTTTGAAAAGATTCCAGAAACGATTCTGATACCACACTCACTGTTGCGAATCAATGACAATATGTCACTTCCATTTGAGAAATTAAATAGTAAATGATGTTTATTACTCCCTAGATTTTAATGTAAAGTTTAATAGTTCAGTTTAGTTTTATACATATTTTGTCCTAAGCAGTTTACAGATCAATATTTTTAAAAGTTTCTACTTTTTATTAATTTCATTAAAGTCCTTTAGATAAAGTTAGACTTCCTGGAATCCTTATGTTTGGCAATGAATTTCCAGATTGATTCAGGTTTATAAGGACAAATACATGTGACACTACAGAAGTGTGAGGGAGTAGGACTTACATGCTTTTTCTAGGGCCTCAGTTGATCAGAAGTGGACAGCAGCTGTTCTATCAAAAACTCAAATGGGGTTGTGGGGATTTGCCACCTCAACCTCTTTCCCAGAGCATATTAGGAGGACACAGATAAAAGGATTCAATAAACGCATTGGCAAATTATAATGTGAAAAGTCACCACTGTGGGGTATTATTTGCTATGTAGCTAATCCCTCTGGGGACTCTCTGAGACAGCCCATGGAACGTGTCTCAGAATCTTCCTGTCCACTGATTGCTATCCCGCATTTGTTGGATGTCGCCTCCAGGGACATTGTCCCCTCTTCCTGCCACACACATGTAATTCTGGGTTGTTTTTGCATGTGTCCAATCTTCGATGCAAAACTCTTCCCTGGGAACAGTGACAAGGCAGACTCTTGAGATGGAAATCTGTCAACCTTACTAGAACTTTCTGTTGAACTCAGGAACACTGGGGAACACTGAGGCATCAATACCATATGCTTTGACATGGTTTTAATACTCTTTCCATTTTAGGTTTTTTTTTTTGTCTTAAATCTGAATGCAGTCATGTTTTTCAAGTTTTATCCTATAGAAAGAACTGCCTTCCTATGAAACCACAGCGATTAAAGACATAAAGCTGCAGATTTCATTGCGATAGAAAACCCTACTTTCCTGCCTGTTGGCGGAACACTTATTAGGAGTTTGCAGAAGCAAAGTGCAATTATTCTCCATGATGCCAGGACCTACATTATTCATTAACGTAGAACAAAACTCAGATATATTATTAAGTGTCCCAGATTATTCATTTGTGAGCAGACTACCAATTGTCTTTCCAAATGAATTTTCTTTGTTCTCAGTACTTTTGATCATATTCAAAATCTCAAAGCTTTCAAAATTTTCAAAATGGGCTCTCAAAATAGAAAATGTGATCTAGTGAAGCTGACTGTATTTACAGTTTGTTATGAGCCGAATGCTGTGTCCCTCTAAAACTCCTAAGTTGAAACCCTAGCCACTAATATGATGGTATTTGGCGATGGGGCCTCTGACAGGTCATGAGGTTTAGGTTAGATCCTGGAAGGAGGCCCTCATGAGGAGATTAGTGTCCTCATAGGACGAGGAGCCAGAGATCTTCTTATCGCTCGCCATCCCCCACACACTCAGGGAAGGCCACGTGACGCCCAATGGGAAGGAGGCTGACCACAAGCGAGGGGCCAGGCCTGATCATGAACTAGCACCTTGATTGTAGGCTTCTCTGCCTCCAGAACTGTGAGATATAAATGTCTGTGGTTAAAGCCATCCAATCTATGCTATTTTTTCTTTTTCTTTTTCTTTTTTTTTTTTTTGAGACATAGTTTTGCTCTGTCATCCAGGCTGGAGTGCAGTGGTGCGACCTCAGCTCACTGTAAGCTCCGCCTCCCAGGTTCACGCCATTCTCCTGCCTCAGCCTCCTGAGTAGCTGGGACTACAGGTGCCCGCCACCACGCCCGGCTAATTTTTTTTGTATTTTTTTTAGTAGAGACTGGGTTTCACCGTGTTAGCCAGGATGGTCTTGATCTCCTGACCTCGTGATCTGCCCGCCAGGGCCTCCAAAAGTGCTGGGATTACAGGTGTGAGCCACGGCGTCCGGCCCAATCTATGCTATTTTATTACAGCAGCCTGAGCTGACTGGCTGTTATTATTGGTAGTTACTGATAGTTATCTACTTGCATGTCCAAAGGAAACAACGCAGCTACCAATTTTTTGGTGATATTCTTCAAATGCTAGCAGGAGACTTGATTGATTCTGGAATGTGTAATGAGCTTGACAGAGGTACCACTAAGAATCCTTTTATCTGTTTACAATTCACAATCCTGCGATGCCACTTGCAGAGAAAAATGCTGATCAAGGTTTCGTGGATGAGATGTTGCTTCTCAGGGTAGCCATATCATCACACTATTAGAGACTACAGACCCCTAGAACTTGGCCTTTTGAGGTATAGGACCAGGAGAAGGGGTTGAAGTAGATGCAGGTTTTCTAAGAGCATAGGATCAATTGATCAATTTTCATTTGAAAAGGGCTGAGAGGTCAGCTTGTAGAAAATAAAGACCAAGAGGGAGAAGCAGCAAAGAGCTACATATTAGTAGGAGGTCAGCTTAAGAGCTAAGAGGGAGCAACCTCAGGGCCTTATGGCAATTAAAGATATTGAATATCAAGGAATTAGAAGGATTTAAAGAATTATGACTGAGAGTCTTCTATTGTATTCACTTTGACACAGTTCATAAGTCTTATGGACTTTTTACTTGCCTTTGTTGGCTGGGTTTCATTTTTTAAAATTGCAGTTCTACAGAGATACTTAGCCATGAGGCAAGACAATTATATTTGTGCTACTCAATTAAATTGTGTTACATCTTAATGTCAGAGTCTATGCTCTATAAATTCTACCAGTAATTTTAGATTTTATGGTCTGCTTCCTAGCATCAGGATGAACCCCTATGGCAACCCTATTCTTATCCATTGGAGCAAAATGATAACTTAATTGTATAATATATCAAAAAAGTGTTTTGTAGTATTTCACTAGTTCTTTGCCTTTGTCTCGTAATTGGCTAATTGAAATTGGGATTAAATAACTTTAATTTTCACATGGCTACAGTTGTAAACAGAGTCATTTTTTCCCATAATACATCAACATTTGGCAAATAATTTCATCTCCTGGGTCTTATGGCAGAATTTTCAGAACATCCTTAAAAACTGTGAATGAAATGACTTGGCAATTGAATGCTGAATGAAAAAGAAATACTTAAAACAATTTAGTCTACTTTTAATCATTTTCATTAAAAAAACTTTGTTAATCATAAAGTAAGTTTCCCAGTTTATGCTATTAATTCTCCATTGTTTTCAGATAAAGCACTTGTAAACTGTTGAACATTTTTATGAAGTGTTATATCACAAATTGGGGCTATTGCATAAATGTTATGTTATTCTAGCCCACCTAAAATATAACTTCTTTCTGCACTCTACTCTTCTTCAAGTTGTCTTATGATATCCAAAATTTGCACCATCATTTTTTCACTCAGGAAAATACTTTTGGACAATTAAATTATATGTATTTAACACAGTGTTAAATGATTTATGGTATTTCTTAATATCTGAATATTTTTGCTGAACCACTGAGCTTATTTGGCATAAATTATGTCAAGCATTAAGAAAATAATAAGTTATCCTATAGAGAAATTTTATGTGTTTAGAACTATTATTATTATTATTTTTTGAGACGGAATCTCGCTCTGTCGCCCAGGCTGGAGTGCAGTGGCGCGATCTCGGCTCACTGCAAGCTCCGCCTCCTGGGTTCACGCCATTCTCCTGCCTCAGCCTCCCAAGTAGCTGAGACTACAGGTGCCCACCACCACACCTGGCTAATTTTTTGTATTTTTAGTAGAGACAGGGTTTCAAAGTGTTAGCCAGGATGGTCTTGATCTCCTGACCTCATGATCCACCCGCCTCGGCCTCCTAAAGTGCTGGGATTACAGGCGTGAGCCACCGTACCTGGTTGTATTTTGAATTATTTTTGTGGAATAATACTCTGTAGATTCCCTTGGCTGTCATTATCCCAATAACCAAAAATAATATCTCTATCACAGGCAATAGTGCATATTGGCTAAGAGATTGGGCGCTGGAGTCAGACAAGAGCCAGACTGCCTGAGTTCAAATTCCAGCTCAGTCATTTATTAAGTGAATGTGTAACCACACAAAACCAGTCTGGTTCTTCAACTTTTATGTAAAAAAGTTATGAATAGTTTTTCAGTTGCCATGGACTCCCAGGCTGAAGGTCCCATAACCTGAACATGCCCAAATGAACCAAACTTGCAATGATGGGCGGAACTTAAGTGCTCAGCCCAAGAAGTGGGACTGAATTAAAAAGGGGACACTGCATGGCAAGATCCAGGATCCAATCAAATGGAGCCCTTGTGGTACCCCATGGCAGGATTCAGTCAGATCATGCCTCCCAGCATCATCTCATCACAAGACCCAATCAGATAACACTTCATTACCCTATTCCTATAAAACCCAACTCAGCCCCCAGCTCAGGGAGACAGATTTGAGCATTTTCTCCTGTCTCCTTGCCAGTCAACCAGCAATACAGCTTCTCTTTTCTCAAGCCTGTGCCATGGTATTGGCCTCTATGCACATTGGGTAGCAAGCCCATTGATTGTTTGATTACAAATGACCCTAGGGAAGTTATTTAAACTAATTCTGCTTCAGTCTCTTCATTTATAAAATGGGAATATTAGGAACTCACTTCACAAAGTTGCTGTGAGGATTCAGTGACTTAATCTATGCAAATCATTTAAGACAATTCCCGAGATTTTATGATTACCATATAAAGATATCCAAAGACTATTATTTCCAATTATATTTGTTCCAAAGGGTAGATTTCTTCCTCTAAATTTCCACATTTCTATTAGATATTTGCCAAAAACGGGGACATATTAATGTTTTATTAATGCATGCATTTATCTATTTACTGAATGCTATTTAAATGTGGTACACCACTGTCTAGATGTTAGCAATTTAGAGAAAGTAAAATCCAGTCCCTTTCCACTGGATTATGATAAGGGGACTATCATAGTGGGTATAATTTGAAGACAAGGAGGACCCTAGTAGAAGATGGCAAATCAGAAAACTTTACTTTGGTGGTAGCAGAATTTAAAACATCCTTCATTCTTAGTTGAGATGATAAATTATTAGTCTCAGCTCTTCTTTAAAATAACTATATATAATTAATAATAAGCTGAAATTAGCAGTTATATTTCAAATATTCCATGTACCTTCATTTATACTAATTTCACCTCAAAACTGGGGTTTGGTGTTATTATTTTACATTGCAAATGGCATTAAGAATCCAATGCTGTGTTAAGTATAGCATCTGCCGGATAAAAATATTAGGACAAGGCCGGGCACGTTGGCTCACGCCTGTAATCCCAGCACTTTGGGAGGCCAAGGCTGGTGGATCACGAGGTCAGGAGATCGAGACCATCCTGGCTAACATGGTGAAATCCCATCTCTACTATAAATACAAAAAATTAGCTGGGCGTGGCAGCGGGCACCTGTAGTCCCAGCTACTCGGGAGGCTGAGGCAGGAGAATGGCATGAACCCGGGAGGCAGAGCTTGCAGTGAGCCAAGATCAGGCAGGCCACTGCACTCCAGCCTGGGTGACAGAACAAGACTCCGTCTCAAAAAAAAAAAAAAAAAAAAAAAAATTAGGACAAAAGAAGTTCATTAGTCTTAAGAACTAATTCAGGATATTTATTATATATTCTACAGACTATGGACCTATTTATTAATGTATTTTTATAATATAATGTAAAGTGTCCTACATAAAGCGCTCATTTTGACAAAGATATTTCTTTTCTCCACGTGTTCAATTTGCCAGACAAGCAATATACTGTGTAAGATGTAAGAAAAAGTCCCACATTTTCAAAATTATGGTAATTAAAAAAGTTATTGGATGAAAGAGTCTATCCTTTACCAAATAAAGGCAAAGACATGAAGTGGTTCTGCTAATTTCCCCATTGTCTAAATTTATAGTCTTTAATTCCTTATTTTAATAATATTATTTTATTTCTAAGTCATTTTGATTTAATAACATTCAGGTTTTAATGATTTCAATTATTTTAGAACTGACTACTCAAATATTTAAAATTAATTATTATGAATGATTAATACTAAGACTTTCAATAATCTGAATAATCACACATAGAGGGTCATTAATTATAACACAAAGAAATGTACTTCTGAGCAAAATCTAAAATATTGCCTAAGACTTTAAGTTTATTTTTATTATCTTATATAATTGATGACAACTAGAATGATTTTTCTTTTTGGATTACTGGCAGGACATAGCTGTGTAGTGATCTCAGTAATGATTATATATAATAACCCTTAAAATTACCAAGCACATATGTAGAACTTCTTACATATTTTAAATTACACCTACTTACTGGGAATGACATACTTTCACCAAATCTCATAATCATATGCTAAACAAATCTCAAAGGAACCTTGGAGGGCTTCTGATTCATTATCTCTTTCTGGGTTACATTTGTCCTAAATCATGTTATTTCCTTTATTCCTGTAAAATGAGTTAATGTAATAGTGAACAACAACTTCCTGGCCAGGTAATTCTTTCTTATGTTTAGTCCAAATTCCTCCCCATAAAACATATGTACGTCTAATTTTTCCTCTGTCCATGGAAACTGAGAACAGTTGCCTAGAATAGACATGACTCTCATGAATAAGACACATTTTACTGCATGTTACAAGACATTTTTGAAAGTTTGAAATTATGAAGTCCCTACTTAGGGCTTAAGTCATTAAGGGCCACAAACACTAATAAAATTATTTTCCTTAAACTCTTCTCATTTTCTATCATATGTTATTTAAAGTGTTATCCAAAAAAAAAAAGAGAAGAAGAAGAAGCCTAACAAACGCGCCAAAGTTAAATCAGTATCTTTGCCAATTTTCTAACTGTAGAAGTTTGGAGCCTTAGGCCAGTGCTGGACCTGGCTGCTGGGTCATCCACACGCACCTGGAAGGGAACAGGAATACACTCACAGGAATACACTCTCCAGTGCACACGAGCTCTGCTTTCCGACAGTTCACTGAAGACATGCACCGGTCACATCATCACATCAGTCATCAAATTGAGACAACCATGCTGATGAAAAAGAACGATGATCTGTAGGATGGTTTTATGAAAGAGCCAGATTTGGAAGGCTAAGGAAAGGTGCCTCAAGACAGTGTCTCTTAAGTTGAGATCAGAAGGAAGAGGAGGCTTTAATTAGTATAAAAGAGGTGAATGGAGCAGGGTAGGATAGAGAGTTTTAAAGAGAAAAGTCAGCAGAGCCACGTCCTTATGGTGAGAGGGAGCGGGGAACAAGGAAGACTTAAAACAAGGTACATAAAAGAACTAGAACAGGAGCGCAGTCTTCTGTGTTCTTTGGCTTCACTGGCTAAGAATAGCTAAAGTGGTTACTCTGAGTTGGGGGATGTATAGATGCTCCTAATAGCCAAGAGTTTAATTGTACATTGGAAATCAGAAACTATAAAAAGATGTTGGCCGGGCGCAGTGGCTCACGCCTGTGGTCCCAGCACTTTGGGAGGCTGAGGCGGGTGGATCACGAGGTCAGGAGTTTGAGGCCAGCCTGGCCAATACAGATATCCCAGCTACTTGGGAGGCTGAGGCAGGAGAGTTGCTTGAACCTGGGAGGTGGAGGTTGCAGTGAGCCAAGATCACGCCACTGCACTCCAGCCTGGGTGACAGAGCGAGACTCCATTTCAAAAAAAAAGATGTTTATCTTCCTTACTCAGATACCATATAAAAAAGCTGGGATTTTGCTAAATTCAAAAAGAAATTACATACACCCTATATTACAAATACTAAAAACTAGTCATCAGCTAGCCATCTATTGTTGCAACATGTCTTTGAATAATATATGTGTTTTCATTATATTTCTAAATTAGGCAATTTGTTTTGTTATTTCAAATCACTGGGTTTCGTGTTTCAATTGCTTAACTAATCAACCCAGAAGATCCATTGTGGAGTCCATTTTTCACAGCAAATCTAAATTCTTTTTCCACACAACCATTCTTGTCCATCCTGATGCAATTCCTCTAGACATAATCACAGCGGAGAAGTGCAGAGCACACCCTGCCAAGGGGCATCTACTGAAGAGATACTGACAATGGCAATTTAAAGATACTTGTTATTTCCAAAGTTGAGAGAAAGAGCCTTGTAAAAATGTGTATCTCTTTGCTGTAAGGATGCTTATTTAGAATTAACTACAGTAGTTGTCTATTTATCCAGCATGTTGATTTCAAAGCCCAGTTCTTTTTATTGAGCTACTTTGGAATTAAAATTTTTTATAATATTTACATATAGGATTAGGTTTCTAAGCCAATTCCATCTAACTGCTAGTAAATTTATTTTGTATATAGCACAAAGAATTGAATTCAATCCCAAATTCTCTCCAGCATACTAACCAAATTTAAATAAACATATGTGATGAGCTAGCAATGGTATTTCTGAATTTTCATATTTTTATTTTCCTTGGCTTACATTTTCCATATATCAAAGTCTCTTTTGAAAATTAAACTATATAATATAACCTCAATTTTAAAACATCAATGATAAGCTGGATTTAATCAACTCAGAACCCAGTGAGGGAAAACATGTTTTACTTGCTTTTATTTTTAATCAAACAGAAGTTGTATTTTGTTGTCATTGCAACATATCAGCGAATAAGCGATCTTGGAGAGCTAGGAGCAAGTTTAAATGTGTACATCTATGGGCAAAAGAACAGCTTAAACTACTGTGAGGCGGTCATTTTTCCTCCAGTGTTTCTTACGCCAGTGTGGAGGCAGCTGGAGACCTGGGAAAGATAGCAAAGACATTTATCTTTCTTTCTTTCTTTCTTTTTTTTTTTTTTGAGACGGAGTCTCGCTCTGTCGTCCAGGCTGGAGTGCAGTGGCGTGATCCTGGCTCACTGCAAGCTCCGCCTCCAGGGTTCACGCCATTCTCCTGCCTCAGCCTCCCGAGTAGCTGGGACTACAGGCGCCCATCACCCCGCCCGGCTAATTTTTGTTTTTTTTTGTATTTTTAGTAGAGACGGGGTTTCACCATGTTAGCCAGGATGGTCTCGATCTCCTGACCTCGTGATCCGCTCGCCTCGGCCTCCCAAAGTGCTGGGATTACAGGTGTGACCCACCACGCCCGGCCGCAAAGACATTTTTCTTGTGACAGTTTTAAACTTGGTATATTTCAAAATAGCACAGATGTTTTTGAAACACTTGCAGTAGAAATAGTGATGTTGTATTGGTTAAAGAAAAAGGCTTATTTTTTTTTTTTGAGACGGAGTCTCGCTCTGTCGCCCAGGCTGGACTGCAGTGGCGCGATCTCCGCTCACTGCAAGCTCCGCCTCCGGGGTTCACGCCATTCTCCTGCCTCAGTCTCCCGAGTAGCTGGGACTACAGGAGCCCGCCACCAAGCCTGGCTGATCTTTTTTTTTTTTTTTTTTTTTGTATTTTTAGTAGAGACAGGGTTTCACCGTGTTAGCCAGGATGGTCTCGATATCCTGACCTCGTGATCCACCTGCCTCGGCCTCCCAAAGTGGTGGGATTACAAGCTTGAGCCACCGCGCCCGGCTGAAAAAGGCCTATTTTATGTCTGTTATTTCCATCTTTATGTCCATGTGTATTCTTTGTTTAGGTCCCACTTGTAAGTGGGAACATGCAGTATTTAATTTTCTGAGTTACTTCACTTAGAATAATGGCTTTCAGCTCCATCCATGTTGCTGAAAAGGACATGATTTTATTCTTTTTATGGCTGCATAGTATTCCATAGTGTATATTTACCACAAGTTTTCTTTATCCAAGCAACACTTAGATTGATTCCATGACTTTGCTATTGTGAATAGTGCCGCAATAAACATACAAGTGTGGGCGTCTTTTTAATATAATGATTTCTTTTCCTTTGGGTAGATGCCCAGTAGTGGGACTGCTGGGTCGAACGGTAGTTCCATTTTTAGTTCTTAGAGAAATCTCCATACTGTTTTCCTTAGAGTTTTTACTAATTTATAGTTCCACCAACAGTGTATAAGAGTTCCTTTGTCTCCACATCCTTGCCAACATCTGTTGTTTATGACTTCTTAGTAATAGCCATCTTGACTAGTGTAATATGATATCTCATTTTGGTTTTGATTTGCATTTCTCCGATGATTCGTGATACTGAGCATTTTTTTAATAAAGAACTCAAACAACTCAGTAAGAAAAAAAATCCCATTAAAAACTGGGCAAAGGACATGAACAGATGTTTCTCAAAAGAAGACATATAAGCATAAAATAAAAAGAAGACATATATGACATAAAATGCTTAACATCACTAACCAATTTGGGTTTTGGTTAATTGGATTTAGTGAGGGTCTGAAGGTACAGGTAGACATGGAGAAATGTTGAATAATATCATTTAGTGCAAAAACTATTTGGAAAGAACATAAGAATTGATGAATTTTTTTGCAATAGATCTGTCTAAATTCCTTGGAAAATTACAAGTGGTGAAGATTAATACATGTGCTATTATTGTTGTTTTTCATTAACTGTTTGCTATGGAATCATTGAAGAAAGTGATAGACATGTTAGAAAGACAGATTTCTTTAGAGTGGTATATACTCATATTTCTTTAGGGTGGGCAAATTAAAATCACTGATCTGATTGTGGCATATATAACTACGGTCTTGCATCCTTTTGGCCTGAAATATTCTCCTTCTAACTGAGAAGTATGTGAAGAGAGAAAGCATTCATTGCATATTCATCTGAGCAGCTTTCTAGAACTGATCCAGTCAGACTAGAAAAATTCTACCAAGCTCAAAAATCATCACACAAAAAACAACCACTTAGAGTCTCTGGAAACTGTCCTAACAGAAAATGTTTTTGAAATGGCATTATATTCTGTTGGACCTAATTAAATCCTTTTCTCTCTTCGCATAGTAAGGACCCATAGTCCCTCCCTGGTGACACTTCCTACTTCAGCTTTCCCTTGTTCTCAGTTTTAGGTGCACCCTACCTCAAGTTCTTACTGCTTCTGCTCGTGGGACTATAACAAACACTACTTCTTTTACCTCAGTAGGACATCACAGCCCATTGCTTCCATGCATCCCAGGAGCTGGGAGAGACTTGGGCCTCTTCTGTCTGCTATTTTTTTTTTTAATATTGCTAATCTCAGGCTATGGTCTGAGAATCAAACAGCAAACATTTTTGCACTTCTATTTTCTAATAAACTATCTGGATTCCTCCTAAAAGTTGGAACTGAGGTAGAGTTGACATCTAATTTCACAGCCATGTTGATACAAATGAAGCAAATCTTTACAATATTTCAATATGTATAATTCCAAGGCACAATGAGCAAGGTATAGGAGTATGTCCCCTGTGTCTAGCTGTTTCTCCAGGCTTCTCCAGAATGATGGATGAAAATGTAATTGGCAAGTCAAATGTCTACTGTGGAAGCCTACAGGAAAAGGGATGTGAAATGCTTGACGTGATGAGGGATGCAGAGTGTTCAGCACTTATTTACTGAGCAGCTCATCACCTGATTGTATAGTATACAATATATGAGAATTTATAGAACAGTGAACATGTAAACACATAGAACAAATAAACATATACAACATATAAACACTGTTTTTAACATTTATTACATACATAGAACATATAAGAATTTATAGAGCAATGAAAATACCACATTTTGACATTTGTATTGTACTGTGAAAGATTTATATGTATTTGTATAAAAAATAAATAAAGGTGATAATCTCTTGTGATTTCCCCAAAATACAGCATCCTTTTCATCTTTTTCCATTATGTAAATATGGTATGATAGAAATATAATATGCTGTGAAGTGATAGACATCATGACATATCAAAATGTATTATATATACACATATATATACATGTACATATTTATTGAAGTATAATTTATATACAAAATATACAAATTCCAAATATGAAATTCAGAGTTTTGACAAATGTCCACACCAATGTAACCATAGTCAATCAAGACATAGAACATTTCCATCACTCCAGAAACTTCCCTTGTGTTTCTCTGCAGTCAACTCCCATCCCACCTCAACCCAGGTAACTACTGATACAATTTCTACTGCTATATCTTAGTTTCGCTTGTTCTAGGACTTCAGAATGTACCCTATAGTGTCTAGATTTATTCATTCAACACAAGGTTTTTTAGATTCAGCCATGTTTGTTGCAGTTACCAGTAGTTTTGTCCATTTTATAGCTGAAGAGTATTTCATTATTAATACAACACAAATTGTTTGTCCATTTTCTTGTTGAAGGTCTTTTAGGCAGTTTACAGTTTGGGGATATTATAAGTAAAGATGCTATAAACGTTCTTGTGTAAGTCTTATAATGGGCATAAGTTTTCATTTCTTTTCAATCTAGGATTGGAATTGTTGGGTCATAGGTTTCATGTATGCTTAATTATATAAAACAATGTTAAACAATTTTTCCTAAGTGGTTGTAGCATTTTACATTCCAACAATAATGTATGAGAATTATAATTGCTCCATATTCTCAACAACACGTGGTACTGACAATATTTTTAATCATAACCATTTTAGTGGGAAGAATAACTCACTGTGGTTTTAATTTGCATTTCCTTAATGACAAAACGATATTGAACATTTTTGTGTGCTTTTTGTCCACTGGCCTAGCACTTTTCGTCATTTTTTCTTATATTCATTATTTTCATTTTATTTTTGCTAATTATTGAGTTGTTAAGAGTTCTTTATGAACTATATTCTGAAAAAAATTTACAGCATTCAAATAAAGTGTTGCAAATATTTTCTCCCAGTCTGTAGCTTGACTCTTATTCTCTTAACAATGTATTTTAAAAGGAGAGTTGTTAATCTTAAGGTCAAATTTATCAGATTTTTATTTTATATCTTGCTATTTGCTTTCTATTTGTCCCATTTGTTCTTTGTCCTCTTTCTCATCTTTTTTGTCTACTTTCAAGCATTTAAAAATTTATTCTATTTCATCGCTGCATTGTAATATTATTGTGTAATATTGTAATATTATCACTGTTTTTGTTACTCTAGCATTTGCTTTAGGGATTACACCATACAGATGTTTTAACTTAAAGATAACTTGTAATAGCCAACTTTTAATAGGCATTATACGACTTTACACACAGTCTAAGAACCTTACAAACTAAACTATATTTCCATTTACTCTAGGTTATTGTTGTCATATATTTTACTTTTACTCATGCTGCAGAACTCACATGACACTGCTATTATTTCTAAACAGCCAATTATCTTTAAAAGATATTTAAGTAATAAGGGCAGGTATTGTATATTTACTTATGGTGTTACTATTGCCAGTGCTCTTCATTTCTTTGTGTGGATCCATGTTTCTATCTGCACAAAGATATTATTCTTTATTTTCCTTCTTCCTGAAAGGCTTTTACACTGTTCTCATAGTCCAGGTTTGCTGATAATATATTACTTTTAACTTTTCTATGTCTGAAAAATATCTTTGTTTCATCCTTTCTTGAAAGACGGTTTTGCTGGGTATAGAAACCTAGGAGAGAGAGTTTTCTGCTTTTGGTTGGAAGATGTTTCACTGGAAGCATGAAAGATGTTGCTCCACTGCCCTTCCCCTTGCATTGCTTCCAAAAAGAAGTCTGGTATCATCCTTGTTTTTCTTCTCTGTGTAAGACTTGTCTTTTTCTCTTTACCACACTGAGTTTTGATCCATTTGCTTATGATGTGTTGTGATGTGGTTTTCTTAATAGCACCCCTACTTGGGGATGTTGAGCTGGGTCTGTGGGTTTATAGTTTGCATCAAATGTGGAAAATGCTTATGTATTAATTTTTAAAAATATTTTTTTCTATCCATCCACTCTCTTTTCTCCTTTGAGAACTCCAAATACACACAGATTAGGCAACTGAAGTTGTCCCACAGATCACCGATACTCTGATTATTCTTTGTTTTTTTTCTGTCTCTGTTTCATTTTGGATGCTTTCTACTGCTATATATATTCAAGTTTATTAATATTTTCTTCTGAAAACTCTCATCTGCCATTAATTACATCCATTGTATTTTTTAATCTTATACATTAACATTGTCATCTCTCGAAGTTTAATTAAAGCCTTTTCTTGTCACATCCTAATCTTTGAAAATACGGAATATAGTCATAATATTTTTCATTAGTAATTCTAACATCTGGGTATGTGCTGGGTCATTTTAGATTGATTTTTATCCTCATTATAGGTCCTATTTTTCTGCCTCTTCACACACTTGGTAATTTTTTATTGTATACCAGACATTGTGATTTTACCTCGTTGGGTGTTGGATTTTTTTTTGATGGAGTCTGGCTCTGTTGCCCAGGCTGGAGTGCAATGGCGCAATCTCGGCCCACTGCAAACTCTGCCTCCCGGGTTCATGCCATTCTCCTGCCCCAGCCTCCCGAGTAGCTGGGACTTCAGGCGCCCAACACCACGCCCGGCTAATTTTTGTATGTTTAGTAGAGACGGGGTTTCCACCTTGTTAGCAGGATGGTCTCCATCTCCCGACCTCGTGATCTGCCTGCCTCGACCTCCCAAAGTGCTGGGATTACAGGCATGAGCCACTGTGCCCGGCCTGGTGTTGGATAGTTTTATGTTACTGGAAATACATGTGAACTTTGCTCAGAGATGCCAATTAGTTATTGGAAACGGTTTGATCTTTTTTTCCAAATCTTTGAAGATTTGTTCAGTGGGGCCGCCATAGTAATACATGGTCTAGGACTTGCCAGGACTGAGGCAAGACCCCTATGAATATTCTACCTAATGCCCTATTAATTATGGGGATTTCTGGTATAGCCCATGGCAACCACCTCTATTCATGGTTGTATGTGAACATGCACTCTCAGTGAGAGTAATATTGTCCCCAAAACGACAGAAATTAGTTTTTTTGGGGGGGATGGGAGAAGTGAAGAGAAGAAAAATATTCTTTTTGTGTAAAGCCCAGATATACGTATAGTACTAAAGAGATATGCAGTGCATGTGCGATATTAAAATTTCAGGGCGGGCGCAGTGGCTTACGCCTGTGATACCAGCGCTTTAGGAGGCTGAGGTGGGCAGATCATGAGATCCAGAGATCGAGACCATCCTGGCTAACACGGTGAAACCTTGCCTCCACTAAAAATACAAAAAAAAAAAAAAAAAAAAAAATTAGCTGGGCATGTTGGCTTGTGCCTGTAGTCCCAGCTACTCGGGAGGCTGAGGCAGGAGAATGGCATGAACCCTGGAGGCGGAGCTTGCAGTGAGCCAGGATCGCGCCACTGCACTCCAGCCTGAGCGACAGAGCAAGACTCCGTCTCAAAAATAAAATAAAATTAAATTAAATTAAATAAAAATTAAAAAATTCATAGAGAGGTGACTAGAAAAGATGTTTAAAAAGATTCCTTGAGGTCAATAATAATTTTTTAAAGGTTGATAAATGCCGCTGTAATTCTTTTGAGTGTTTCTTTCCCTTGCCTCAGGTAGTTTCATGCACTTTGTTACACACTGAAGGGCGACCCTCTCCAGATTTGCAAAGTTTTCTCCAATGCAGCTCTTTCCTCGCCGGTACTCTATCCTGCAATCTCTAGCCACCTTCGTGTACCTGAACTCTCAGCAACAGCTACTCCATTCAGAGACTTGCTAGGCTTCCTTAAGCTATCTATCTCCATTGTCACTGCTGTCTCAAATTCTCTCAAGTTGTAAGCTGGGATACTCACAGCACACATCTTATGTTTCCTGTCTTTCAGGGATTACATTCCGTGCCTCATGTCCAGTGTACTGAAAACCATAGTTTCATATATTTTGTCTGGTTTGAGGTTGTTTCATGCAGGAGGGTTAGAGGGTAAATATGCTCCCTATTACTCCATCTTAGCCAGAAGTAAAATAAGAAAAAGAAATATATGTAAGTATAAACACACATACACATATATATATGTATGTATATAACACACATGAATCATATCCTAAAGATTTGGAACAAGAAGTAAATTTAGCTATCAATTATGTTTACTCACTGCAGATTAAGATGAACATTGTAGATTGGAGCATATTATGGGAGCAAGGCAACCTGTAGAATTGGTCAGGAACTAGACATCTCAGGACCTGCATTCTAACCCATTTTTGTCAGTAATTATCTGTGTAATGTTTTCTCAAAGCAGTGAAGGCCTTTGTGAATTTTGCAAAAATGGGGACAATTATATGTTTTACCTCATTGGCTTGCTTAAGGAGTTAAAATGTGATATGAGTCATACAAAGTGCTCATGCAGTCACAGAGGTTCTATTTTAAGGGCTTTCTTAAATTTTTAGGTACCATCACAAGCTAGCTAAGTTAGAAATTTTCATATCGCAAAATCTAAAAGTTCATCTTATGATTTTAAACATTTTTATTCACAGAGCAAATGCAACCATGTGAACCTCACATTTTAAAATATATAATGGCACAATAAAATGCAAAAATATAATTTTAGGTCATAACCTATAGGCAATAAACTATGTTATCATTTTGTAAAAAAAATACCACAGGAAGTAGTGCTTCAGTACATTTTCCCGACGATATGATTAATCCATAATAAATTCTGCTACTACTCCTAGTAATGGCAACTTTATGTAACCTTCTTAAGGTTACATTTGCACTTAAGTATACCAACTTAAACCGTGAGTGGCTGTTCTGACAACACATCAGCAATGAACTTAGCCTGAGCTACATCCATTGGGAGTGATGTGAAGGAAGAGAAAAGCGTTGGACTCTATGATATTTAATGTCTTTACCAATAGAAAAGCTCTGTAATTCTTAGAATTCAATTTTTTAATTAAAAAATTGGTTCTCTCTTTACACATAATTGCCAAAACAGTGTTTACAAATACTTTCATCTTGCCCCAGATTGGCCAATGAGGTAGTAGGTTAAACAGCCAATTCATCATGTTTTGATTTAAAATGTGTCCATATCATTCTTCCCCAAATTCAAGTATATTTTAATAATCCATTTCTGTTACTTATATTATGGATTCAAGAATAAACTAAGCAAATGGATCATTTGTTTGCCTTCCAGTTATACATGAAGAAATTAATGTTTTATTAAAGAAAAAAGCCATCAAAATCAATTTTCCATCTGCACTCTTTTATTTGTTGCAATACTGTTTATAACAGCTAAGATTTGGAAACACCCTAAGTGTTCATCAACAGATGAATGAAGAAAATGTGGTTCACATACAAAATGGAGTACTCTTCAGCCATAAAAGAGAATGAGATCCTGTCACTTGCGACAGCATGGATGGAACTGGAGGTCATTATGTTAAGTGAAATAGGCCAGGCATAGAAAGACAAACATTGCCATGTTCTCATTTATTTGTGGGATCTAAAAATCAAAACAACGGAATTCATGGATATAGAGTAGAAGGATGGTTAGTAAAGGCTGAAAAAAGTAGTAGACAGCTGAGATAATGGTGGGGCAGAGGTGGGGATAGGTTAATGGGTACAAAAAAAGTAGAAAGAATGAGTAAAACTTACTATATGATAGCACAATAGGGTGACTATAGTCAATAAAAACTTAACTGCATATTTTAAAATACAGAGTGTAATCAGGTTGTTTGTAACACAAAGGATAAATGTTGAGGGGATGGATACCCCATTCTCCATGATGTGCTTATTTCACAGTGCATGCCTGTATCAAAACATTTCATGTACTCCATAAATATATACACCTAGTATGTACACAAAAATTAAAAAATAAAAAAGATTTCCCATCAAATATTCTTTCAGAGAAGATGTGAACAAAGATCCAGAATTATTGGTCAGTCTAGGCAAACAGTATCAAACAGCCTAATATGATTTTCTCCTCTGCTAAATAATACTGGGAAGGCAGGAAGGTGGGCTTCTCTATGGATTGAAGTTAAGAGAGAGAAGTGCCAGGAGTTCAGTCCACGCATGACAACTTACTAGTACTGCCTACTTGAAGAGATTAGCTCTTACAACCTTATCTTTGTCTCATCTATAAAACTGAGGGAGCAGGTTAAAAAAATCTTACATGTTAATACATGACTTATCCTACTCCATGTCTCTATTACAATGAAAGATCATACACAGTCTGGAAGAAAATGTTAAATTTACTGTGACTTTTCACAGTAATAGAGACAGAGTAATAGAGACACGGGGTAGAATATGTCACGTATCAGTAGTAACTACTATCAAAGTATGTTAAGTTTATGCCGTAATAATGACTTTTAGTAAACAATGAAGATTTACAGTGATTTCCTAAGGTGAATTTGGACAAAAATATTGAGATAATACCACTCACCAGTGTCACTATTTTACAGAGATAAGCCTTCAATGTCACATGAACCACTCTATTTTTAATATTAGAATTCTGAAGTTTTTAAGCATCAGAATCTTCAGCTTTCTCAAATGAAGAATGGTAATTATATGCTATTTTCTTTTTTAATTTGAAGAAAAAAGTTGGGAAATTATTATGCTTTTACTTTTATGTTACAAAAGGGTGTTACTTGCAACTAGCATCTATGTATCTAAATAACGTTTAGTGACTTAATTCTCTGCAACAGTAAAAAGTACTCAATTTAGATTTTAGTAAGTTGACTGTTAGATGGTTGCTCTTTGGCAGAAGTTTAAATATATATATTCATAGATATTTTTACATCTAGCAATCAGTAAATATTTATCTCTTTTTCTTGCACTTTGCATTTAATAATTTAAAAGGAAAAATTTAACAGATGATAAATATCAAACCAAAAAAGTCAACAAATCTTAATAATCTCAAAATATACAAGGGCAAAGTGATACATAAACCAATACAGAATACATTTGTCTGCACATTTTTGCATAAATTTTAAAAAGCATATAATTCTGTAATTTTAATTTTATAGAGCTTTCCCTAAAATATTTTTTATTTTATTTAAAAATGAGTTTATTTTCAAATAAGAAGATTAAGTCTAAAAATCAGTGCAAAAGATTGATGGTGATGATGTATCAATGCAATTTGATGCATCCGTTTCGCTGTCTTGCAAAAGGTGCAGTGACCAATGGGCTGTCTGTACTCTCAATACAGATGTAGTATTCTGAGAAGAGATCATTTGTTAAGAGCGGATTTAAGACAGAGAGTGTATTCATTCTTTCAAAAATAACACATACGAATTTCCATAACAAGATGGAAATTCATTTACGTAACAGTAACGCTGAATCAATATATTTTCAGCTTGCCCTGATGTGGAAGAAATATACCATCTCATTAGTCCTTGGTAGGCAGTTGGTATCTGGAATATGAAGAGTGTAGCATCATTGCTTTTATGTAATTGGTTTATTGAATCCAAATGGTGGTTCCATGCATTATCAAATAACCACTGCTTCAATACTAGTCCCTGGAACTGTCTCCATAAAGTTAATTCCAATCCTTTGCTGTCTTAGTGTGTATGTAAACCTTAATGAGACATGTTCCAGTTAACTGCACATATTCAATTTTGGGTAATCTATGGGAATTTGGCCCCATGGTCATAAACCTGTGATCAGACTGGCAGATTTAATAAACATCATGTAAATGCTAACTTAACTTGGAGTGAACAGTCTTCAGTTTACATTCCAAAAGTGATTAGATGAAAGGATAATACACAATGATATTTATGCCTAGAGCAGTTCAAAATTTAGAAAAGGAATTAGTGATCTTCAGTTAAGCTATTTTTTTAATAAATTGAAAAGATGTTCTGTACAACATAATAGAGTCATAGGAAATCAAAAGCATATCAGTAACAACTTTTAGAAAAAGAAATGAATGATAAAGAAAAACAGATATGACCTCTCAATATCTTGGGGAAGTAAGTTAGGATGATGTTTCATTCACGTCTTAATGATATAAATAAAGGATAACTCTGTGTAAGAAGTATTGTTTGTATCTGGTGGTAAATTTAGTTAAAAACATAATCACAAGTTACAAAAACTGTAATTACAAATTACAAAGAAAAACAGGCAGACAATCTTGTATTGACATCCTCTTGCATCTTGTTACCTACCAATGTTCTGTTCCATTATAAAATTCAATACTAAAATTTCATAGCTAACATTCAATATTAATTTCAACATTAAAATGTATCAAAATCATTAAAAACAGTCAATTAGAAAAAGCAATACACCAAAAATAATGGTAGTGTTTCCAGGCTTCAACTGTGTTGTATTAACCATCACACAGGAGAATAAAAGGGCTGTGAATTTTAGATAGGCCACTTGGCTCTGGATTCCAGGACTATGGAAATGCCAGTGAAGGTAGTCCAAGAAGCATTTCTTGTTTTATAAATATCAGCAGAGGACCAAAAAAAGGGATCCCAGATATGTTTTCAAGTAACAAAAAACATTAAAGTGCAATTTTGTCTTTTACATCTGAACAAAAGTTCTGTCATTTTTAAAAAATAAAGTAGGGCCACAGCTTTATAGCCATTTTCTCATCTAAAACCCCACAATTATTAACACAGATCAAACTGCAGTTTTGGAAGAGAGCCTTTGGACGGGGAAACTACTGAACAGTGATGAATGGCCATACCTAATTCATTGTTTGGAAATTGATGTGGAGGACTGTGTTTCACCGAGGGAGAAAGGGACCTCCCAGAGGCTCCGAGGCTGCAGGTCTTCAGCCAGGTGACAGCACTGCACCTGCTTGTGTGCACCCTGATGGCAACAGCAGGGAAGTCCACAGTCACGATGATAGAGACAGCCACAGCTGCCAATCAGAAGACTCGCTCTTTCTGGTTTTCATGGACTGCGTTTTGCACATCGAGCTCACTGTTTAGAGCTGTCCTAGCACTCTTCTTTTTTTGAGACTTTTGACTCATTTTCTTTGCGTAACTTTCTCTGTTGATAGATGCGTATGGCTATGGCAGTGATGCAAAGCAAAATAAATATCACCACTGCTATCACACCTAGGGAGAGAAAAGAATAAAACATCATAATTTTTTTTCTTTTTTCTTTTTAGAGAGAGGGTCTCACTCTGTCGCCCACGCTGGAGTGCAGTGGCATGATCACAGCTAACTGTAGCCTTGATCCTCCCAAGTAGCTGAGACTATAGGCCCACTCCACCGTTCAGCTTATTTTTTTTTTTCTTTTTACAATTATTCTTTGTAGAGATGGGGTGTTGCTGTGTTGCCCAGGCTGGTCTCGAACTCCTGGGCTAAAGTGATCCTCTCACCTTGGTCTCCCAAATTGTTGGGATTACAGGTGTGAGTTACCGTGCCTGGCCTCAATGTCAGAGTATAAATGGTGACTTTTGGTCCAATCAGAGGCTTTGCAGACATCATTGCTTTTTAAGTTTGGTTAAAATAAACCAAACACCTATTATATTATAAATTGAAAACACCAAAACTCAGAAATGCTGAGGTCAAGTAATTTTATAACATTTAACATACTTCTGACGGACTATGACTTTTGGATATGGCTGTGTTAGGCTTTTTCCCTACAGGTATATGATGATTGGGTTTTAGATAATGCTTTCAGATTTAAAAGAATAGAGACATACATGTCTCTAAGACCGCGTACATCCTTCAGTTAACAAGTGGGAAATGTTAAATCATTTTACAAGTATAGAGTGTTTGCATCATCATAGATCATTACATGTTATTGTTAGTACAATGAAATGGATACATTTTAATGAAATTGTTTTCAAATACTTTTATGATAATACACTTTTCTTTTTTTTCTGAGACGGAGTCTTGCTCTGTCGCCCAGTCTGGAGTGCAGTGGCGCGATCTCGGCTCACTGCAAGCTCCGCCTCCCAGGTTCACGCCATTCTCCTGCCTCAGGCTCCTGAGTAGCTGGGACTACAGGCACCCGCCACCGCGCCCGGCTAACTTTTTGCATTTTTAGTAGAGACGGGGTTTCACCGTGTTAGCTAGGATGGTCTCGATCTCCTGACCTCATGATCCGTCCGCCTCGGCCTCCCAAAGTGCTGGGATTACAGGCGTGAGCCACCGCGCCCGGCCGATAATATACTTCTCAAACGCAGTAGTGTCTTATATATGTAATCAATCCCTATTACCAAAAATATTGCAGGCATATTTATTCATTTTTTTTTTACCTGGAATGTGGATTATTTGAAAGACCTGGGCAAAATGTTTTAAAATATTGAAACCATTAGCAGTGTCCATGATTCTCGACTCTAGCTGCACACTAAGTCAGTAAATCAGAATAAATGAATGGAAGGCCTGGATACCAGTATCTTTATAAATTGTTTCAGGCTTTAATTCAGAGCCAGAGTGCTAAAGCATGAAGCCATGCCACAGAATGCTGTGTACTGAAGCAATCATATTAGTGACAAATGAAAGTAAAATCTACCCTAAAAGAAATAAATGTGTATAAAGACAAGCTTCTGAAGGTAATCAGAATATGTCACCCCCAAATATGCCTTTTTGACAAATATTTTGAAGTAAAGGCAATTAAGAAGCAGCCAATGGAGGAAGAGCTCTCTAGATCCTCCCCTCTTTTCATCTAAAGACAGGATGTAAATTCTCTTTTACCGGAGACCATTCTTACCAGCTCAGGGATGTCAGCAGAAGAATGTACAAACACACGTATTCCACTAGTTTCTTCCCATATATTTATCTTCCCACGGTTTCTTGCCTTCGGACACCTAAAATTGCTTTCCATTGTCCTGTCATTTCTCCACAAATGTATTGTTGAAGATGAGCCAGACTTCTAAGCCACTGCGCTTTGAGTTTCACTGAGGTTTCTCCCACGTGCTGTGGGCTGCATGCCTTAGTAAACTTGCTTGTTTTTCTCTTGTTAATCAGAGGTCTGTCCCAACTACAAAGTTAGGAATGATGAGGAGAAATTATATTTCCTCCCCCACGCTTTTACTGCCTACATCGTACATTTAAAGTACTTCACACAAATATTAATTTATATCTTCAGCCAGTCCCTATTAGAAAATGCAAACTGCCTCTGGGAAAGCCCAGGGGAAGCCTTCCACAGACTCCTTTTCATCCCCTCGTTCAGGCTAAGAATTTCTCAGCGGAAGAGAACACTGCTAAGATGTTTCCTTACGTTTACTCCGTCAATCTTGCCAGTGATATTTGACCACCAGCAATATAATACAATTCCAAAGATAAGAGCTGGTTCTATGATCAACTTGCCCATTTCCTTCTCACCAAAAGCTGGGTACTAACCCTGACATTGTGTAAACGTCTGTAGGACTTGGAAACCTAGCGTGAAAATGTTCGGCATGTTGAAATTGCTTTTGCATTGCAATGAAAAAAATCTCCTAAAAAGGCATGATTGATTTAGGATTGGATTTGATTTAAAATTGAACACGAAAGTACACCTTTTAGATATGCATTATTGACCACATTCCCACTGGAAACTGTTTAAAACAGTTTTTGTTCATCAGGTCATGTATTTTTAATTTACACCTTACTGATTTCTAAGAGAAAAAGAATTGAGATAGTGATGGAAATGTGAATATCCTCAACTGAAATTTAGTCAGAACTTTATTATGTCGAAATTGTTTTCTGTCATTTTGAAGGAAACAAACACAACTAGTTTACTCTTGTATGTGCTATGGAGAGTCTGCAGAATAAGAATACAATTAAGATTTCAATAACTCGGCCGGGCATGGTGGCTCATGCCTGTAATCCTAGCACTTTGGGAGGCCAAGGTAGGTGGATCATGAGGTCAGGAGATCGAGACCATTCTGGCTAACACGGTGAAACCCCGTCTCTACTAAAAATATAAAAAATTAGCCGTGCGTGGTGGTGGGCACCTGTATCCCCAGCTACTTGGGCTGCTGAGGCAGGAGAATGGGAGGCGGAGCTTGCAGTGAGCCAAGATGGCGCCACTGCACTCCAGCCTTTGCGACGAGCGAGACTCCCTCTCAAACAAACAAAGATTTCAATAATTCACTCATTAATTAACAAGGAAAGGTGAATGCTTATTTTTTGCACCAGCTCTAAATAAATTATATTTTAGAAAAAAAGTTTTCATTGCCAAAACATATTTTTAAGCTATGCTTAACTTCACTTTTCTTCAATTAAAAATAACCAGAAAACATTCTTAGCCTATGAGATTAGTTCTTTCCAAAGTATGATTAAAAGTGAAACATACAATGGCTACTGCTGCACAACATTGTAAATGTCCTTAATGACAGGGAATTATACACTTTAAAATAACAACACATTTTAAATAATGTGTGCCTTTAAAACTTCTTAAATAATCACGCCTGTAATCCCAGCACTTTGGGAGGCCGAGGCGGGTGGATCACGAGGTCAGGAGATCGAGACCATCCTGGCTAACAGGGTGAAACCCCGCCTCTACTAAAAATACAAAAAATAGCCAGGCGTGGTGGCGGGCGCCTGTAGTTTCAGCTACTCAGGAGGCTGCGGCAGGAGAATGGCGTGAACCCGGGAGGCGGAGCTTGCAGTAAGTCGAGATTGCTTCACTGCACTCCAGCCTGGGCGACACAGCGAGACTCTGTCTCAAAAAACAAACAAACAAACAAACAAACAAACAAACAAAAAACTTCTTAAATAAGTGAAACACTGTCATGGGAGTATCTAAATCATACTATTTGTCATTGAAGAAAAGTACCATAAAGTGTATGCTCTGATAATTAGCTGAGGTTTCCATTGCTTTGAACATAATTACTTCAGGTCCGTCCAACAGTTGTCATTACCGTGACAAATATCCCACATGTCCTAGGGAATACAGCTATTTTCAAATTAATAACTTTTCAGTATTAGCTTTGTAACTGTTCTTCAAAAAAAATTGTTTCGGCAGAATTCTTACATGCTGAGAACCCCCAGGGAAGCTGAAATCAGCAAATATTGCCTTAGAAAATCAACGAAGGCCGGGCATGGTGGCTCACGCCTGTGATCTCAGCACTTTGGGAGGCTGAGGCGGGCAGATCACTTGAGGCCAGGAGTTCGAAACCAGCACGGCCAATACGGAGAAACCCTGTGTCTACCAAAAACACAACAAATTAGCCAGGCATAGTGGCACACTCTTATAACCCTAACTATTCAGGAGGCTGAGGCAGGAGAATCGCTTGAACCCGGGAGGCAGAGGTTGCAGTGAGTGGAGATCTCACCACTGCACTCCAGCCTGGGTGACAGCGTGAGGCTCTTGTCTCAAATAGAAAAAAAACAAAGAACAAAAAACAAAAAACCACCACCAACCGCAATACATAGCACCCCTCTGACCTCACCATTGAGTATTGATTCTTACATATATTTCCCATTGTGCTAAGTAATGGTATCATTATCTAAAGCGATAATGACAAGCACCAGGTCATTCAGGGCCTTGTTACCTCCGATGACAGCAGAGTCTCTTCTGTCTGCATTAACCAAGGGCTCTCCCTCATCCGCTGGTCCAGAACGACCTACAACAGGGAAAGGGAGAATGATGTTTATTAGCTTGATTTAATCACGCCACAATTTACACATAGCAAACTTGTCAATTAAAAGTGAATTAAAATAAGAACATCACAAAAATGTATTTTAAAAAAGGAAAAAAAGAAGGATGACAGAGACGGAGAAAAGAAGGCTTTTGAGAAATTCACAAACATTTGAGAGAAGCGCAGTTTCAGGTGCGCAGGGGTGGAGGGCCACACACCTGCGCCCCCCGCGAGTCGGGGAGCCAGTTCCCGCGCCGGGGAGCCGGACGCCGCCCCCGCTGCGCAGCGGGCCATAGGGGCCACGTGGCCGCGGACGGTGACCCGGGAGGGGCCGCTGGGGCGCAGCGCCGCCTTCAGGGGAGCAGCGCGGCCGAAGCGCACCGCCGAGAGGCAGCCAGTGAAGCCACTAGTCGCCGCCCGCCTTGTGTCCGGGTCCGCGCCGGCAGCCTCTGAGGACAGAAGGGGAACACACAGTTAGGGCGCAGCGGCGGAGATGGGGGCGCAGGCACACCCCGCATCTGCAAGACAGCGACCCTCGTTCCTTCACTCCAGGAGAGGTCCCTCCGAACCCCTCGTTCCTTCACTCCAGGAGAGGTCACCGTGAATCTTTACCTGTCTGGCAACTATTTCCATTGTCAGGGTTATGAAAGGCAGGTTTTTAACAGATTCGTTCAAGTGCAGATGGCTGGCTCTCTGCAAGTAACAGAGCTTCATAGGAAAGCGGTTACATGGCATAAATTTAAGAAATCCTCTGCCATTTAATTTTTAAAATATAGCATTAAAATAAAATTTTAATGGCGCTCACAGCCAATAATCCGGAGGATTACAGAAAAGCGACTCTTGGAGATGAGGGCAGAGCTCTGGAAATCCTTCATACTATAGTTGCTATTTTGTATGATGACTTTCATATTATCTTAATAAACTGTATCTTTTGTCATCAGATAATATCCCTCTTTATCTCATTTAAGATTCGATTATATTCCAATCTTAAATTCAATCTTATCTGAAAGTAGTGCTGCATTTCTTAAATTTATCAGCTGTTGCCTGCTAGTTCTTGGCATGCCCCTTCATTTTCAATATTGTAAGAGCATTTAACTGTTAATTTTAAAGCTAGTTTGACAGAATTTAGTCCATTTGTCTTTAGAGTAATAACCACTATATCTGATTTTATTTTTTATCTTACACTATTTATTTCACATTATTTCTTTTTTTCCTTTTATTTTGCTGGTTTAATCAGTTTCCTTCTTATTTCCTGCTTTCCCTTTTGTGAGTTTGAGAGCTCAACTTCCCTAGCCCTCACAATCAAAATCATGCCTTCACACTGTTATATGAAAACAAGATCCTCTTTTTCCAACTTTCCCCCATTCCCAACAGTGAGATGAGCGATTGCATGGTTCTTTCTCCCCACCCTCCCTCCCACACCACCGCGGGGTTCCCCACAACAGTTCTTCCCTAAATGAGAGGCTTGGGAAATTTTTCTTTTTCTTCTCTCACTTTTCCCTTTTTACTCTTCTTTGGTTTTACTCTAGTACATTTAGATCCTGACCAGAATGACAATTTCTCTTACATTTCTATTTTTCTATGATGTTTCCAGTTCAAGGATCTTTACATAATTTATTTTTTCCAAGAAAGAACTTTGACATGATGGACAAAGATTCTCCCTATGACCAGATGTTGGTCAGGCTACTCTAAGCTCTCTGCTCAACCAGCCTGACCTTTGGTCTTTCATCGTCCAGCTTAGCAAGAATCCTGCCAATTTGGTTTTAACCCAAATCTCCCACCCTCAATATCTGATCACTCTCAATATCTAATCACCTTTCTCATCCCTCTCACCACCCCGCAGGTGATGTCTGACAACACTGGCCTGGCATCACCAGGAAACCTGGTGAGTCAGTTTAGCAAGAATTACTCTCCCATTTTGTAGTTTTCCACTCAGACACCCCACCCCAGCCACTCTGCTCCTTGGCTACGAATCCACACTTCTCCTTGTTGTATTTGAAGTTGAGCTCAGTCTCTTTCCCCAACTGCAAAGCTCCATTCCAGTAATTCCTATACCTATTGCCATAGTCCTGAATAAAGTCTGCCACACGATCTTAACAAGAGTATTTTTATCTTTTGACATGATACAAGATGGTTTTACATTAAATAATTGTAGTTTAGAGAAGAATCACATAATTTTAGGGCAGACCTTTTTTTTTTTTTTTTTTTTGAGATGGAGTCTCACTCTGTCCCCAGGCTGGAGTGCAGTGGCGCGATCTCGGCTCACTGCAACCTCCGCCTCCCAGGTACAAGCGATTCTCCTGCCTCAGCCTCCCAAGTAGTTGGGACTACAGGCATGCACCACCACACCCAGCTAATTTTTTTTGTGTATTTTTAGTAGAGACGGGATTTCACCATTTTGGCCAGGACGGTCTCGATCTCTTGACCTTGTGATCTGCCCACCTCGGCCTCCCAAAGTGTCAGGATTACAGGCATGAGCCACTGCGCCCGGCCAGACTTCTCTTTAAAACCCTGAATAAAAACCTTGAGCAATTGTTTAATTTGGAGCTGATGAAACAGAGAACTTTCTTACATCTTTAATAAATGACTTAATTAGAAAATGATCACCATATATACTTTGTTTAAGCTGGAAAATCTGAAAGAAAGGCATTCCTTTGCCCACTCTGAAGTGTACCTGGCAATCACACCACAATCCAGGAAGAAACTCGTGATTCTGTACTCCCAGATTTTAGCCAGCACTACTATTTATTGTTTATCAGTTAACCAATATTCAGTAGAACTCAACTCTTAACTGTGGTGACATGTAGATACAGTTTCCTGTCTATTACCTTGACATGGCAACATGGTCAAAACCCTTCACTTTTGCTTCTCTTAGCTGAATAGCTCTAATCAAAAATGTATGGTGACCTGTCTGCCTCCCTTTCTGGGCTTTCTCAACTTCGGGGTCCTGCACCCAGCCCCCTTCCAATTCTCTATTCTGTTCCATCAAAGCCTGCTCCCGAGTAAATTCACGTTTGCACAAATTCCTGGTCATGGCTTTTGATAACACTTTCAGGGGCATATGTATTTTGGCAGAAGAGTCAAAAGAATGGATCTCTAATACAGAATTTGAAATACTGGCACTTGACGTTGTGGGAAAAAAAATATTTGAGATAGGGTTGTCTTCCCAGCCCACTGAAGTCATGCCAAATAGACAGATGTCTATCCTTACAAAAGGGTGCCACTTGGTTGAACTAAAGGAAAAAACGACTAGATAAGTGGACAGTCTTCTACACTGTGCAATACGGTAGACACTAGCCACATGTGACCATTGAGATTCAAATCAGGCCAGGCACGGTGGCTCATGCCTGTAATCCCAGCACTTTGGGAGGCCGAGGTGGGCGGATGATGAGGTCAGGAGATCAAGACCATCCTGGCTAACACGGTGAAACCCCATCTCTACTAAAAATACAAAAAAAAAAAAAAATTAGCCGGGCATGGTGGTGGGTGCCTGTAGTCTCAGCTACTTGGGAGGCTGAGGCAGGAGAATGGCGTGAACCCGGGAGGCAGAGCTTGCAGTGAGCCGAGTTCACGCCACTGTACTCCAGCCTGGATGACAGAGTGAAACTCGATCTCAAAAAAAAAAAACAAAGAAACTCAAATCAATTAAAATTAAATAAAATGTAAAATTTAGTCCCTCAGTTATACTAGCCACATTTCTAGTGCTTAAAAACTCATTTATCTCAAGTGAGTCTGGGGACTACCACATAGGACAGCACAGACTTTACACGTTTTCATCATCACAGAAAGTTCTATTGGACAGCATTAGTTTTGTTGACTTATACTTTCAAAGATCTCAAGACATCTGTGATGCCCACTGAATCCTGGTTAATGGACCAAGTTAGAACAATCTTAGAATTTTCTATCGAAGAGAATCTTGATGATAACTTAGTGCAGCCTCCTCATTTTACCAATAAAGGACTAATTGATATAATCATTGCTCTTTCTTGGAAAAAAAAACCCACAAAATCTCCTATCTTCTTGACTTTTTATAGGGTTTTTAGGTGTTTTCATTCTGTAATGTTGAAAGAGGCAATCCACCATTGGCTCTGAGTGTCTCCTCATGCTTTGCTGGGTTTGCCAAGAAGTGCAAGATGCTGACAGCACTTTACTCAGGCCACTTCTCAAGGCTATAATTGAAGCAAGCAACATTGAGGGATAAGGTCATGACCCCCTCCAGGACAAAGAACAGACTTGCTTAGTGCTTGTTACAAAATCGGTGGATTCCCCAAACTCAGTGTTCCTCTGCTGCAGTGGAAACCTGGCCACAGGTGCAGCCTTCATCTGCACCCATCACTGCCCCGTAAGGCTTCAGGGCCAAGGGAAAACAATGCAAATGAACTGCTGCTCACGAGGCTTGCTGTGCCATGAGTAGTAGGGTCCTTTGTCTCTGTACCAGGACAGCATCCACAAAACAGTTAAAAGCTGTTAACTTCCTAGCTCGTAAATCAGGTAAAATCAAATCCCAGACCCAACATAAAACATTTCTTCTAAATGAGACAAACACCATAGCACAGAAGTAATATAAAATACATAGGTTGATGAATTTTAAAATGTTAAAACTGTATGTCTTATGTGACATCTCCTTACAAAACTCAAAAGGCAATTTCCAGAAATATTTAATTACCAAAACTATTTGGCATTCTTACATATCTAGAGCTCTATTTGAAATATAGTCCTTCAGTGGGTTTTCTTTTCTTCAGCCTAGAATGTATACCTCCTAAGGTATATAAGCTCAGCTGTATTCATATGCAACTGTTTACAGGCTAATTTTTTTTTACTTTTTGGGAGCAGACAAAAAGGCATCTTCCATTTTTGCACTCTGTTTTTTTGATATATATATGTAATTTTTAAGATAGTGTTTAAGGGGCCAGGTGTGGTGGCTCACACCTGTAATCCCAGCACTTTGGGAGACTGAGGCGGGTGGATCACAAGGTCAGGAATTCGAGACCAGCCTGACCAACATGATGAAACCCCGTCTCTACTAAAACTACAAAAATTAGCCAGGCGTGGTGGTACATGCCTGTAATCCCAGCTACTCAGGAAGCTGAGGCAGGAGAATCGTGTGAACCTGGGAGGCGGAGGTTGCAGTGAGCCGAGATTGCGCCACTGCACTCCAGCCTGGGCGACAGAGTGATACTCATCTCAAAAGTGTTTAAATACATGTGCACATGTACACACACAAAGCAAAACAGAAAGAATACAATAATACCAAAGTATCTAAAAACAAATCTTAATTTATGATGGATCATCTTTACTGAATTATAAAGTATTTTAGGTGTCTGCATTCTTTAAAGCTACCTCTTGGATAAAATTCAAAGCTATATAGAAAATTCAAAATCTAAAAAGCTTATATTTAAATAGGTTTACTCTGAATTGATCTTGTGATAATCAATCTGAATGGTCTTCATTCACTAAGACTACTCAGAAATGGCAAAATCATATTGAGGTGCTCAGAAACAGCATCTTAATTATGATGGATTTTGGACCATTTTTTTCTAAGGCATTGTTAGGGTGCATAATAATAAATTAGGCTGGATATGAGCATTATTTTATTAGAATTGCTCATATATTAGCCTATGTACCTATTAACATGTGAGTGTAGTGAGGGTGGGTAGGTATAGTGTTTCATTCAGAGGCTTTCTCAGTGCTTAATAAACTGTTCATAGCAGATGCTCACCAAGTTTTTTTTTTTTTTTTTTTTTTGAGACAGAGTCTCGCTCTGTCATCCAGGCTGGAGTGCAGGATCTCTGCTCACTGCAAGCTCCGCCTCCTGGGTTCACGCCATTCTCCTGCCTCAGCCTCCCGAGTAGCTGGGACTACAGGCGCCCGCCACCATGCCCGGCTAATTTTTTTTGTATTTTTAGTAGAGACGGGGTTTCACCGTGTTAGCCAGGATGGTCTGGATCTCCTGACCTCGTGATCCGCCTGCCTCAGCCTCCCAAAGTGCTGGGATTACAGGCGTAAGCCACCACACCCGGCCACTCACCAAATATTTTTAAATGAAGGGATGAATCGAAGATTTACAGGGACTCAAGAGAAATATATTGGTAACTTAGAACAGAGTGTTTTGGGTAACTTTCTTTGTAAAATTAGTGGCTTCTCTATTAGCCAACTTGTTGGTCTATTTTACTATAAGTTAAGGAAAGCACTTCCTATATAATTCCAAATTTAAAGATAAAATTGTAGTTTTGGTATAATTACTAAATGATGTGAGAGTGGCAAAAAATGTATAGCAGAACCAATCCTAAAATACAGTTGTTCAAAGTATAAAGTGTTTTATTAATGTTTGATGATTATCTCTACCTCCAAGGACAGGCAAAATGAATATTTATAATTTTCTAAGATCAATTGCTTCTGAGTATATACTTCATTGCTGAATTTCAATGTAGATTTTTATACCGTAAGTTACATGCCTTTGAATATACCATCCTTGAATGAAAACATTAACACCTTCAATTCCATGTCTCCTTTATTTGGAAGGAAACAAAGATGTATATAATAAATATTATTCAACTTTTTGATCCTAATATTAAAGTATAGTTCATTTTCTTAATTGAGTTACATAAGATGGGTTTTTTTAAAAAAAGATTACTTTCCTCAGTTCCTTTATTAAATGTAAAGCTAACTGTGCTTTTACAACAGATTATGATAGACAATATGATAGACAATTACTGTAACTTTCTACCTTGCGTAACAGATATTTATGAATATGCCTCCCCATTCCTGTTAGATACTAAAGTCAAAAAGGATGGAAACAACAGGCAAAGCAGGGCTTGAGAGAAAAATAAAACTGTATTCATCTGCTGTAATAAGATTACCAGTTTTTTCTCTTGTGTTCAACTCAAACGTAGTTTTATCATTGAATGATGGTCTCCGGAGTTGATGTTGATTAATACATACATAATCTGTGAACTTCGTGTCAGCTTTGACAACATTTCACTTTTCAAGAAGGATTAGAAAAATACCGTGATTCATTATGCATGATTGCCAAGTGAGAGGTTAAGTGTGGAGGTATTTTTCCAGGAACGCCCTTGCACATCTCACAGGTAGCACTTAGTCATGATTATATGTACACTCAGGCAAGAGTACAGTTTGCACCTTGATTGTCACTCACTGTGAAATTATTATTCAAGTAAGACAAGGAGCTTCTTTCAGCATGATGAATGCTTCCAGAGTTTGTGACATGACACTTATTTGGGAAAAAGCTCTTTCTCCTACTTACCTAAAACCTTTCCCAATATGAGAGATTTGACGGCGTTGAATTCTGTCCCTGAGGACAAGATGACTTGTTTCTTTGTGCTCTGGTTAACCTATTAGATGTCCCATGAGAAGCAAACATCAACAGAAAGTACAATTTTAATGATAAGGAAGCAAAGGAAGATGAGGAAAGGAAAGATGAAAATAAATCACTTTTAAGTACCATTACAAAAGCTCAAGAAGCCACCTTCAAATAATTAATCATTTAGAAAGAGAAGCTATTTTATAAGCAATTCCTATGATGCCATCAGCTACCACTCTATCCACGATGTACCCACTTGCTGGCTTTACTCTTCTTCATAATGGAAGGATCTATAATTGGCAGAATCCATGAAAAAGATGGAATTGGTTGTTTTAAACTTAAATATGTACTCATTCTGTGGAGAAAATCTGAAACATAAAACCAAGCATTGTTGTTCTCTATACAGTATATTTTCCTTCCAATGCCGATGACAATGTGTAATTTACTTCCTCTGTGGTGACTCAGGTCTATTTTCTTACTTATTCCCATTTTAATAACTATGTTGTGTGCTTTTAAACCGTGTTTTTAAGTTGCTAAAGTATTTGTTCTTTTATAATCAGAATAAGACAAGTTCCCACTGCAGTATCAATGAATAGATTCCACCAGCAGTCACTATGATAAACTAGAGAACATTCCCCTATTGAGTAAAGTAAAACAAATAGATATTTTGATATTTTAAATAGTAAAATATTAATAATACCTTTGACAGAATTGCATTGCTAAACAAACAAAACAAAGCAATACAGAATAAACAACCACCTCCTCTCTCCCAGATCCTGGCCATATTTGGCTTCTTCTTGACTTATGGAAGAGCAGCACTGAATGGGTTGCTCTTCTATTAATATTATCAAATTTTTTCATTAGATTATTTGTTCTTAAAATAATAATATTAGTTAGTTTGACTTTTGCATTTGTGGGATTACCTCTACCATGACCACAGCTTCTTCTCTGTTAATCTTCACTTGGTGAAGTTGCCCATCAGCCATGTTTTTAAAATCAAAGGTAAATGCATCAGGATTTTGATGTCTATCTAGCTTGTACCTAATCTGCAAACTTCCTAAAAAGAAAAATAAATGGCATTTAAAATTAAAGTGGTATTTTATAAAACTCTTGATACAGATTCTAGAGCACTTTTATTATTATTTACTTACAGCACTTTTGAATCTATTTAGCATCAATTTAGATGCACCCAATAGTTATCTTTCCCGGAACAGTGATTACTTAAGTGCTATTCCTGTGCCAGACTCTGAGTCCAATGATGCTATTTGAAAAGTCAAGACTAAATGTGTTGTTAATAAGCAGTCTCCCCAAACCTTTTCATTTAAAAATGAAAAGGTTTAAATTATGCATATGAGCTTGGAACTCAGATCTAAATTCATTATGACTTTGATATTTATGAAATGATGAAACTCTATGCAATATTGTATCAACATTCAGTTCCTGTAATTATAACTTCTAATAAGGCTCATTTTAATGTATCACTGATATGTGCATAAAGATTTTTTTATAGCCAGATTATTTTAAGTCTTCTGCCATAATCCAAAAATGAGGACAAGAAAAGGTTTTGTCAGGAGACAAGGTTTCCATAGTATCTACATCTTCTAATATACATACCCCTCTCCTACACAGATGTGCCCTCATTATCTGTAATTCTCTTTTAGTTTATACTAAGATCCTGTTAATCGGAGATTTTTTTTTTTGTTTGTTTGTTTGAGGTGGAGTCTCGCTCTGTCACCCAGGCTGGAGTGCAGTGGCGCGATCTGGGCTCACTGCAAGCTCTGCCTCCTGGGTTCACGCCATTCTCCTGCCTCAGCCTCCCGAGTAGCTGGGACTACAGGTGCCCACCACCATGCCCGGCTCATTTTTTGTATTTTTAGTAGAGATGGGGTTTCACTGTGTTAGCCAGGATGGTCTCGATTTCCTGACCTCGTGATCCGCCTGCCTTGGCCTCCCAAAGTGCTGCGATTACAGGCGTGAGCCACCACATCCAGCCTACTCAGAGATTTTGTAGATTTTTTTCTAGGCATGAAATTTTTGTGCTGTGTACCTAACAGACTTAAAGCTTGGTCTTCTTGTTCAACTGTAAAAACCTTGCAATGCCCCAACTACCACTGTTTGAGAGGTTGTCATTACACTTTTCTTCTATAAAAGTGATATAACTAGTTTTTCAGCCACTGATGAGATAAAGAACAGCTGTACTTATCTGTTGCTTATAGGAATTGGCTTTTATATAGTTGTACTATAACATCCACATAAATGCTCCTCTATTTTGCTTAGAATGAGGAGGGAATGTATGTCATGTATCTAGATATCTTATTTCAAAATGAACTGCAAAACCAATTTGAGTCATCATGTACTATTAAAGTCATCCTATCAATAATAAGAAATATAACTGCATATCAACTCCGTAAAATTATCAAACATGTAATGGGAGAAAAGCATCTTAATTTAATCTTGAAATGCTAGCTTTTATACATAACCATTAAGGCAGGCACTGAAAAACCAAACCCATTGGAGGGCATACAGTTTTCTCTCATCGTTTGTAGTTTGACTGCTGAAAAGACCCATGTCATTACAGTCCTATTTTTCTAACTCAGGGTTCTCTTTTTCTTTACACAAAAGATATTCACCATTGTTGGCGAGGATAACTGAAAGGTATTCCTCATAGAAAGAGCTCACATACAGCAATAAGCTCGGAGTTCGTGTGGTTCGGAAGCTCAGTGTGATCATTTCTCTGGTCAATGTTACATCTCTGTGTAATGAAGAAACGAGAGAGCTGGAGTTTTCACTTAAAGTGTAATGTTCTTGAAAATGGTATGTCATTGAGGAGCCAGTTGCAAAATATGCGGAAATCTCTGAAATGATAAATACATTTTTGTTATGTTAACAAAATGTAAGTCCAACGGTCTTGTTTTAAGTACATTTAGAGAATGAGACCAAACCTTAAATATCCTGGGAGATAAAGTAATAGTGAAATCCTTTCCTGTTTTTTTATTTTTCACTTTTTAAAGTTTTTTAAAAACTACAACTTGAAGAAAAAGTAGCAAACTCCAATATACTCATAACCCAAAATTGACTAACACTTAATAGAGATTTTAATTCTCCAAATCATCCTCATCTTATATTTACATATAACTAATTCTTCAGTATAAATGTATAATTTATAGGTGACTTATCTCATCTTTGGTTTCCAATTTTTTCCCAAATTATTAATTTTTAAACATCTTTATTCAGATATAATCCATATGCCATGTAATAGACCCAATTACAGTGTAAAATTCTATGTCTTTTAGTATATTTGCAGGCATGTGCAAACATTGCCATGATCAATTTTAGAGTATTTTCACTCCCCTCCCCCGAGCACCTTCTTATTCCCTCCTACAAAAACCTCCATAACCTCTAGCAGTCATTCTCTGTTTCTCCCCAACACCCCAGCCTAGGCAACTACTAATTTACTTTCTGTCTCTGCAGAGGTTCCTATTCAAGAGATTTCATATCAGTGGAATCATATAACGTGTGGTCTTTTCAATGTGGCCTCTTTCACTTAGCATGGTATTTTCAAGGTTCATCCATCTTGTAGCATGTATCAGTATTTTATGCGTTTTATTGACTAATATTTCATTGGATGTAAATAGTAATGGATGTGCCACATTTTGCGGATCTATTTAACAGTTGATAGACATTTGGGTTGTTTCTACTTTTTGACTATTATAAATAATGCTTCCATGAAAATTCACGTGTAAGTTTTTCTATGGACACGTTTTTATTTTTCTTAGGAATATATACCTAGGAGTAAAATTGTTCAATCTTATGATAACACCAACTTTAAAATTTTGAGGAGCTGCCATATTTTTTCCAAAATAGCTATACCATTTTACATTCCAAACAGCAATTATGAGGGTTTTAATATCTCCACATCCTCACCAACATTTATTATTATCTTTCTTTTAAATTACAGCTATACCTGTCTGTGTGAAGAGGTATTTCATTGTGACTTTGATTGCCTACTGGCTAATGTTGCCAACTATTTTTTCATGATTTTATTGGACATTCACACATATTTGCTGAAGAAATATCTATTTATAAGCTTTACCTATTATTTAATTGGGTTAAATTTCTTTTTCTTATTCAGTTGTTGGTTTTTTGTTTTTATTTTTGTTTTCTTGAGACAGAGTCTCGCTCTGCTGCCCAGGCTGGAGTGCAGTGGCGTGATCTCTGCTCACTGCAAGCTCTGCCTCCTGGGTTCACACCATTCTCCTGCCTCAGCCTCCCAAGTAGCTGGGACTACAGGCGCCCGCCACTACGCGTGGCTAATTTTTTGTATTTTTAGTAGAGATGGGGTTTCACTGTGTTAGCCAGGATGGTCTCGAACTCCTGACCTCGTGATCTGCCCACCTCGGCCTCCCAAAATGCTGGGATTACAGGTGTGAGCCACCACGCACAGCATCTTATTCAGTTGTAAAAGCTCTTTAAATAATTTGAATACTAGACCCTTATAAGAGACATGATTTGCAATACTTTCTTCCATTCTGTGGGTTATCTTCTCTTTTGTTCTCCCATGTTTTAAGAGTTTTATAGTTTTAGTTCTTACATCGAGGTCTATTTGGTACATTTTTATGTATGTGTGAGATAGAGGTCTAATTTCATTCATTTGCATGTGCATGTATACTCAGTAGTCTCAGAGACTACTTCTTCCCATTGGGTTGTCCTGGCACTCTTGTAAAATCCATTGACCATAAATGGCGAGGTATCTATCTGGACTTTCAATTTTATCCCAATGAGCTATCTGTTTAGTCTTAGGCCAGTTATATACTGCTTTACAGTAAGTTTAGAAATTGGGCAGTGTGAATCTATCAAATTTCTTCTTCTTAAAGATTGTTTTGGCTATTCTGCATCATTTAAATTTTCATATGAAATCAGCTTGTCAATTTCAGGAAAGAAGCCAGCTGGGATATTGATTGAAACTGTACTGAATCTGTATATTACTTTAGAGAACACTGGTATTTTATTTATATTAATTATTCAATCCATGACATGAAATATCTCTCCATTTATTTACCTTTAATTTCTTTCAATGCTTTATAGTTTTCAGTGTGTTTTCCATTTCTTTTGTTAAATGTATTGCTATGTATGTTATTCTTTTTGATGCTATTGTAAATAAAATTGTTTTACTGGTTTTATTTTCAGATGGTTCACAGCTAATGTGTAGAAATACAATTGATTTTGTATATTGTTTTTGTATTCTGCAATTTTGCTGAACTTGGTTTTAGTTTTAATAGTTCTAAGTAGATTCTTTGGGATTTTTTTATATAAAAAATCATGTCATCCTCAAATAGAGATAGTTTTATTTCCTTTCTAATTTGGATGTTTTTCTTCTTCTTTTTTTTTTTTTTTCATTTTCTTGCCTAATCAGTCTGGCCTGAACCTCTAGTACAATGCTGAATAGAACTAGTGAGAGTATACATTCTTGTCTCGTTCTTGATCTTAGGAAAAAAACATTCAGTCTTTAAAACTAAATATAATTTTAGCTATGAGTTTTTCAAAAATACCATTTGTTAGACTGAGGAAGTTATCGTCTATAATTAGTTTACTGAATTTAAACAAAAATACATGAAAGGATGTTGGATTTTATCAAATGACTTTTCTGCATCAGTAGAGACTATCATGTGTTTCTGTCCTTTATTCTAAGATATAGTATATTATATTAATTGATTTTCAGCTGTTAAAACAACTTTCCATTTCTGGGATCATTTCCACTTTGTCTTGATGTATAGTCATTTTTATATGTGACTGGATTTGCTTTGGTAATACTCTGTTCAGGGTTTTCACATCTATCTACTTAAATGATATTGGTCTGTAGATTTAAAATATATATACTTGTATATCTATGTCTGGCTTTGGTATTAGGGAAATACTGACCTTACAGAATAAGTTGGAAAATGCTCCTTTCTCTTTTATTTTTTGGAAGAGTTTTGAAGAATACTTCTTATTTAAATAGTTGATATATTTTTAAATAGTTGATATATTCTGATAGTTGATAGCATCAATTGTTTGAAACCATCTGGACCTGGGCTTTACTTTGTGTGGTATTTTAATATTATTAAGACATTCCTTTTATTGTTATAGGCCAATTTATATTTTCTCCTCCTTCTTGAAACAGAAGTAGTAGTTTGTGTTAATTTTGTAGTTAGTGTCATCCTAGGAATTCGTCCATTTTATCTAAGTTACGTAATTTTTTTCAACATACAGTTGTTTATATTCTCTTGCAATCCATGTTATTTCTGTAAGGTTGGTAGTAATATCACTCTTTCATATGTCATTCTAGTAATTTGAATCATCTCTTTTATTCTTGGTCAGTTGTACTAAAGGTTTGCCAATTTTGTTAACAATTTTAAAGGACTGACTTTTGGTTTGGTTAATTTTTTCTGTCACTTTTATATTATCCATTTGAGAAATTTCTCCTGTTTTATTTATTATTTCCTGTTTCTCCTTACATTAGATTTAGTTTGCTCTTCTTTTTTCAGTGTCTTAGGGTGGCAGGTCAGGTTTTTTATTTGGGAACCATTTTTCTTTTTGAATATTGATGTTTACAGCTTTAAAATTCCCTCTAAACCCTGCTTTAGCTGTGTTACTATATGTTTTAGTAATGTTGTATTTTTGCTTTCATTTATCTCAAAACCTTTTCTAATTTCCCTTTTGATTTCGGAGTGTATAGTTTAATTTCCACATATTTGTGATATTCCACAATTTCTTTATGTTATTATTTTCATCTCATTGTGTTTTAAAAAGACCCTTCATATGATTTCAATCCTTTTAAATGTGTTGAGGCTTGATTTACAGGTAGCATGTTGTCTAACCTAGAATATGTTCCATGAACACTTGAGAAGAATATACATTCTGCTATTGTTAAGTGGTGTGTTCTACAGATGTGTGTTAGAATGATTGCGTTTTTATTTTTTTCAACTCTATTTTCTTGGTAATCTTCTGAGTAATTATCCTTTATTGTAAGTGAAGTATTGAATCCTCCAGGTTTTATTCCTAGTTTTTCTATTTCTCTTTTCAGTTCTGTCAGGTATTCTTTATGTAATTTGGGGCTATATTATTAACTGCATATAAGTTTGTAATTGTTATATCTTTTTGAGGGAGTTAACTTTTTATCATTATAAAAGTTTCCCTGTTTCTAGTAGCACCTTTTGTTTTAGAGTTTATTTTTTTCTGGTATTAGTATAGTCCCTTTGGCTCTCTAGGGTTACTCTTTGCATGGTACATGTTTTCCCTTCTTTTATTTTCAACTAAATTACCCCTTTCAATCTAAATTGTATGTCCTTAGACAGCATATAGTTAAGATTTCTTTTGTTATCCATTCTGACAATATTTGTCTTTTGATTGGGTTGCTCAATCGATGAACATTTAATATTATTATTGATACAGTTAGATTTACATCTGCCATTTTCTTTTTCTTTTTCTATGTGTTTCATTTGTTTTCTTTTCACTTTCCTTCTGACTTATTATTTTGTGTTGGTGGATATTTTGGAGTGTAACATTTTAATTTCTTTCTTGATTTCACTATACTTTGGGGTAAAATATATAAATATATAATTTGCCACTTAACCATTTAAAATATGAAATTCAGTAGCATTAAATTCACAATGTTGTGCAATTATCACCTCTTTTGATACCCAAAATTTGTCATCATCCCAAAATTAAACTGTATTCATTAAGCAATAACTCTCCATTGCCCCCTCATCTCAGCTGCTGGTATCCTTGAATCTACTTTGTCTCTACAAATTTGTCTATTGATATCTAGTAAACATGGAGTTATATAATATCTGCCCTCTTGGGTCTGGCTTATTTCACTTAGCATAATGTCTTCTATGTCAATTAATGTTGTATCATGTATCAGAACCTCATTCCTTTTAATGGCTGAACAATATACCATTATATGTATATACTACATTTTTTAATCAATTCATGTGTTGATGGACACTTGTATTATTTCCACTATTGTGATTAGTGCTACTATGAACATTTGTATACAAGTATCTGCTTGAGTTCTTGTTTTCAATTGTTTTGGTTATATATGTAGAAGTGGAATTGCTGGGTTCGAAGGTAATTCTATGTTTAACTACTTTGAGTTAACTCTAAATCAATTTCTACAGTGGCTGTGGCATTTACTTTCCCACCAGTAACAAAAGAGAGTTCCAATTTCTCTAGGTTCTTGCCAAAACTTGTTATTTTCTGTTTTTATTTATTTATTTATTTTTATTGTCAATCTAGTAGGTTTGAAGAGGCAGCTCATTATACTTTTCGTTTGTATTTCTTTAATAACTAATGATGTTGAGTATCATCTTTCCATGTGATTATTGACTCTGTATATCTTTTTGGAGAAATGTCTCATCAAGTCCTTTGTCCAATTAGACTTTTTGTTGTTAAGTTGTGGAAGTTATTAACATATTCTAGATAGTAAACCTCCATCAGATACATAATTTGCAAATATTTTATCACATTCTGTGGATTGTCTTTTTACTCTCTTGATAGTGTTCTTTGATACACAGAAGTTGTTAATTTTGATAAAGTCCAAATAATCTATTTTTATTGTTGTTGTTGCCCGTGCTTTTGGGGTGATTTTTAAAAAACCACTGCCAAATCCAAGATCATGAAGATCTGCCTATATATCTTCTAAAAATTTTATAGTTTTATCTTTTAGATTTAAAACTTTGATTCATTTTGAGTTAATTTTGGTAAGGGTCTAACTTCAATCTTTGCATGTGAACATCCACTTTTCCTACCTTTATGTTGAATAGACTGTTACTTCCCTATTGAATGATCTTGACAAAGACTATGTTAAACATCAATTGACTGTATGTACGTAGGTTTATTTCTGGCCTCTCAGCTCTATTCCATTGATTTATAGGTTTATCCTCATTCAGTGCCACATTGTTTTGAATAATGTAGTTTATAGTAAGTTTTGAAGTCAAGAAGGGTGAATCCTCCAACTTTGTTCTTTTGTAAAATTGTTTTGCTTATTCTGGGCTTTTTCAAATTTTATTTAAATATTGATAGGGGCTTTTTCATTTGTATAAAAAGTGCTTTGGGGATTCTGATAAGAATTAGATTGAATCTGCTGGGGTTGTATTGTCATTTTAATAATCTTAAGTTTTCCAATTCATGAATATGGAATGTCTTTCCATCTATTTAGTTCTTTCTTTAATCTCTTTCAACAACGTTTTATAGTTTTCAATGTCTAAGTCTTTCACTTTCTCGGTTAAGTTTATTTCTAAGTTTTTTATTCTTTTTGATGATATTGCAAATGGAATTGTTTCCTTAATCTCACTTTCAGATTTTTCATTGCTAGTGTAGAGAAATACAACCAAATTTTTGGTGTTAATTTTGTATCCTGCAACTTCGCTGAATTTATTTATTTTCTCTTAACAGCTTTTATTTCCTGAAGAGTTTTCTACATATAAGATAAGGTAATCTGAGAGAGAGATAGCCCTTCTATTGAAATTTGGATGCCTTCTATTTCTTCTTCTTGCTTAATGACTTTAGCTGGAACTTCCAGTACTATGATAAATAGAGGTGGTAAAACTGGGCATACTTGTCGTGTTTCTTATTTTACGGAAGCTTTCACCATTGAGTATGATGTTAATTGCAGGTTTTTCATATATGGCCTTTATCATATTGAGAAAGTTCCCTTCTATTCCTAGTTTATTGAGTGTTTTTGTTTTTCAATCATGAAAGGTTACTGGAGTTTGTTAAATGTTTTTTTTTCAGCAACAATTAAGATAATCATGTTTTTTTTCCCCTCTCATTCTATTAATCTTGTGTAATATGTTGACTGATTTTCATTTGTTGAACCACTCCTGAAATCCTGGGATAAATCCTACTACGTTTTGGTATATAGGTCTTTTAATATATTTCACGACAATGTTTTATTTTCTTTAGTGATTGCTCTAAGCTTGCATTATATATATCTTATCAATAATCTGCTTCAGGTTTACATTAACTTAATACAAGTGAGATTTAGAAAAGTTATTTCTACATAGCTCTATTTCTTCTGTTTTGGAACTATTTTTATGCATACCAAACCCATTATTATTTTATATAATTTGTTCTCTTTTTAAAAAATCTGAGAAAAAAAAAGATCAAGTAAATATTTATAGACTTTGTCTATAAACTCTCTTATTTACCATTTCTAGTTCTCTTTCTTTGTTCCTCTGACTCATGTTACCATTTGGTGTCATTCCTTATTTCAGTACAGCCTTGCTCCCATCTGTCTCCTCTGTGCTGTTTTTTTGTAATATATTTCTATAGGCCCAACAATGAAAATATATACATTATATATTTGTATATTCTCTATTATAGTTTTATACATTGCTTTTTAAAATAGTTAAGCACTGAAAAGGGTAAGAAATATGACATTATACTTTCTTTTATAATTACCTGCACACTTACCTTTATTAGTGCTATTTGTTTTTTGTGTGTAGATTCAGATTATTGTCTGGGTTATATCCCTTCAACCTGAAGGAACGTTCTTTGTTATTTCCTCTAATGCAGGCTAATAGCAGTGAATTCTCTGTTTTTTGTAAGTAGGGATATATTTACTATCTTTTTTAATTTTTAGTTTTTATGAATACCTAATAGTTGTACGTTATTTATGGGGTAGAGGTAATATTTTGATACAACCAAACAATGTGTAATGATCAAATCAGGGTAACTGAGATATCCATCACCTTAAACATTTATCATTTCTTTTTGTTAGGAACATTCCAGTTCCACTCTTCTAGTTATTTTGAAATATACAATAAATTATTGTTAACTATAGTCATCCTGTGCTACTGAACATGAAAGACGGTTTTGCTGGGTGTAAGTTTCTTCATGACAATAGTTTTCTTTCATCTCTTTGAATATGTTATCTCACTGTCCTGTGGCCTCCATTCTTTCAGATTAGAAGGTAGCTGTTGATCCTGGCGTTTCCTTGTATATATGATTTTTCTCTTACTGCTTTTAAAATTTCCTTCTTGACTTTGGCTTTCAAAGTTTTTAATAAGATGTGTCTGGATATAAACTTCTTTGTGTCATCTGTATTTCACTGAGTTTCTGTATCTTAGATTAATGATTTTTATTAATTTGGGGGTGTTTTCAACCATTATTTTTCAAATATTTTTTTCTGATCCTTTCTCTCTCTCCTGGTATTTTCAATTACGTATATATTGGTGTGCTTAGTTATGTCTGATATTTCTCTGATGATCTATTTTTTTCATTATTATTTCTCTGTATTCTTCAGGATACATAATCTCTATTGATCTTGCTTCAAGTTTGCTGACTCTTTTTTCTTTTCTCTGTTAAACTTCCCTGGCTTAACTCATTACTCTCTTGGAGTTATCAAAATTCTCTTAATTGCTTACTGCCAATATCTTCATACCACTATGCTTAAACTTATCCATCCTCTGTTCCAAATAGAAATCAGTTCACTTGGGGAGGGCTACCAAGCTGTGTATTTTCATGGCCTCCCTCTACCTCTTGGTTGAATGTGCCTCACTGCTCTGAAGCTGTGGGGAGTGAGAGTGGCCTGCTCCTTTGTAGTAAAACCTCTGCTTACAAGTAGGGCACAGGGTGGGAAAGGTAACTTCTTGCCTTGCCTCTCCTGGTGGAGAAACTGTTCCTTACAAGTAAGCTGGAGTGAGGGCAATTGGGACACAGGATTTTCCAGCTGCCACACCTGAAGACCTTATGTCCTGGAATGAGGAGTTGGTGTAGGAAGGAAACCCCAGACTTCTCAGCTGTTTCTGCGTGGACAGAGCTTCTGTCCTACAAAACTGGGGATGACAAGAAATGCTGGCACCCAATCTTGGGGTAATGCAGTATCTCTGGAGTAGGACCTGGGTAGAGAGGAAACCTCTGGCTTCTTGGCTATATCCATATAGAGTGGAGCTTCCGTCATACTGAGCTAGGGATGGGGAGGTGCTGGGAGAGGGTCTTGGCTTAAATGCCTCAAACTCTCACTATTATTACTGATTAATAAATGTTTCTTCATTTGATGTATTTCCTTAGGACATCTTCTAAAGACTTTCAATAGTTGTTTTTTAAAATAATAATTTTTACTAGTTATGCTTGTTTCGTATGAGAGAGGGTTTACAGAGCTCCTTATGTGGCCAGCCTGGAAATGCCAGAGTACCAGGTTTTTTATTTGAATGTTACCTCCTCTTTAAAAATCGATTTGCTTTGTAGGAAGCATGAAACAGAGCTCCTGAAGTAACTAGAGAAAAGGTGATTTGAAGACCAACCCTCCTTCAAGGTCAGAATTTAGAAATGTTCTTTTATGCCAAAGATGTTTCTCAAATTTACTGTCTGGATAGAAAGGCTAATCCAAAGTGGTATCTACAGTATTCTGAGAGAGAAAAGTTGAAGGGCTTTCAGATTCTCTTAAAACACTTTATGAAAGGTTGATATTTTAATTTTATATCAAGTTAATTCCAAAAATGTGTTTAGTACACACATACACATACACACACCCCCCAAATATATCTGTAAATAAAAAGACAATGTTGGGTGATGATCATTGTCTTGGAATACTACTCCACTCTTTCCATTTCCATAAAATATAAAGAATTTACTGAAAATCCAGATCATTCTTATTAGATTAGGTAATCTAACTATAACATATGCCCCAGCCACTGGAGGACCATTTTCCATTTACTTACTATATAATGTCTATCCTTAAGAAAATTTTGGGTTATAAAATAACATTCAAATTGCACTTAGCAAATGTGGATTGGGAATGATTTAGAAATCAGCACTTGTGCTCATGAAGGAGTGGTTACTCCTGATGTTGGCTTGAGATATAAAAAGGGCTCTGTATTTGCACCAGAGCTATGAGATTTGTTAGCACAGAGATCTTCAGGAATGATAAAAGACACATGCAAGACCTTTTGAAAATTTAAATGACTTCTAGATAATGAATCCTCAAAATTTTTTTGAAAGTCACACAATTTTATAGTGATTAAAGCCTGTTTTGCTGCTAAAAATAGTAAGTGTAACAGCCCAGAGACACTTAAAAACACAACTACATTTTAGCTCTGATGATTCAATATTGTAAGAGGTTTCATAAAAGTATTATAAATATATTAAATAAGTCAGTACAGAGTACTTAATACTAAAATCAGTCCCTTTTTCCTTTTCTTTTTTTTTTTTTTCCCCAAGACGGAGTCTCACTCTGCCGCCCAGGAGTGAGTGCAGTGGTGCGATCTCTACTCACTGCAACCTCTGCCTCCCGGGTTCAAGCAATTCTCCTGCCTCAGCCTCCCGAGTAGCTGGGATGCCCGGCTAATTTTTGTATTTTTAGTAAAGATGAGGTTTCACCATGTTGGCCAGGCTGGTCTTGAATTCCTGACCTCGTGATCCGCCTGCCTTGGCCTCCCAAAGTGCTGGGATTACAGGCATGAGCCACCACGCCCAGCCCTTTTCTTTTGAAAACATGATTGTACCTGAGCAGAAGCTGTGTGATACCCCACTGCACTCCTCTAAGAAGAGTCAAACATCATAGAGCACAGTGTTTGAGTGATCCTGTTAATGACTGTCAATATTTAAATATTATTTTCCCCTTCTAGTTAGTATGCTTGTTTTATAAGAAAAGACATTTCTATAAAGGCCTTTTGAATCACTTCAAGTCATTGTCACAAGGGACAATGGGTAAGACGATTGCTCAAGCCTAGGAGTTCAAGTCCAGCCTGGGCAACAGAGAGGCTTGAATAGCAATACGTTGTCTCTAAAAATTAAAAACAAAAATAACAATGATGGTTTACTGATGTTAAAATTAGAACAGTACAAGGACAGAGTTTTGAAAACCAAATTATTTCAAGAGGATTAGCATTGAACAGATGCTAGGGGTAACCCAGAGATCTTCTAAATAAGAAACCCAGAGAGGACTGATAGCCTTAAGTTTTCAAAAACAGTCATATCCCTTCTAAATTCAATAGAGGAATTTGGTACAGAAATTATTCCATTTCAAATAATTCAATCTTATCCTCTCTTTATAATATCAAATGCCAGAAGCATTCTTCATGTTATTTAAGTTTCATGTACTTTCCCTATAACCTGCTCCTTGGTCACACTTACCATTGGAGCAGAACGGCCCATCATAGGCTGAGAAGGCACAGTCACAGGTGACCCCCCTGCGTTTCTCTCTGCATCTCCCTCCATTGCGACACAAGTGTCCATAGGTGCTGCAGTGTCCTGCACACCCTGGCTCCACTCCTGGCGTCACTGTGGCTCTTTCTTCCAGATCCAGGGCCACCCCGTTCAACTGCAGAGACCGAATGCATCCTAGAAAGCCTCTCTGTCTGGTGGCCGTTCCACCTACAACGGAAACACTGCAAATAGAAATGTGTTCCTTGGTATTTTATTCAGGATTTTATGTCCATGTCAAACTCAGGCCTTATGGAGAGTGGCAATAATCACAATGTGTCAAAAAATTTTGTGAACATACACAATTTTGAAAATGTAACTGTTATGAGACATGAAGCTTTAAATGACATTGAATAAAACACTTATTTACATAACTTTCAAACATGGTGAGTCTGGCAAATAGTCCTAAAACATTTCCTTAACTTCAGGTAAGAAAGAATTTCACTTTAGTTCCTTCACAAAGAACAAAATACATAATATAAACCACATCAAACACTATTCTACTTTGTTTAGGAATAAGAATGTGTATTCATCAAACATTATTTTAATTTCTTTATGAATAAGAATGTGCATTATAATGGTTAGGTATGAACTTCCAAATTTTTCACAATAATAAAAATATATATGGATAATTTCTTACTTGGATGGACTCTAAAAATAAAGTGTGAAAGGAAATGGAGAGGCAAAGGAGGGGAAGTTGGAAGGGGTGACACCGTACCCCAGGATCTCCTCCTCTCAGAGGGTACAGTGCTAAACAGTAATTGAATACTGCATGCATGCACATTTTGTCATGTCAAACTTGAATGCTGAAGAAACCATTTAGAGAGGTTTACAACACCTGTGTAGTGACAAACACCATTATGAAGGCGACAATTCTCAATGTTAGGAGCATGGAAATTACCTAGAGTTTCTGGAAAATGCAGTTTTTAG